>NC_000001.11:245578060-245729576 GCF_000001405.40 Homo sapiens
GCAATGAGTCCACTCTCCCCAGTCTCCCTGTCTACGAATAGAACTTGGCCCAGTGAGTCACTGACTCAACTTCTGTGATCTTCTACTAGACGATATGGTTTAGAAATTCATAAGATGTGTGTCAGGAGTTAACAGGTTTAGGGGAAAGAACAGAAGAGGCGGAGGAATGTCTCCCCATGAATGCTGACCCTCCACATACCCAGAACCTGGGACTAGCCCCTTGGCAAAGACTCCATGAGCCTCATACAGTGAATGGGACTCGTTCTCAGCCAGGTAGACATCAGCTTGGGTCTGACCCCCATCCTTGTGTGCAAGTCCTGATTCACAGAGTTTCTTTGGCACTTTTGCTTAAGCTGTAACAAACAGCCAGTCTGCACAGGGCTCCCTTCTGTCTTTCCCTTTAAGTCGGCTCACATTTCTCTCCTGGTCACAGCTGTAGAGGACACACACAGCACGAAACATGAGGAGTGTGGCAAGTAATGAATGCCCCCAGGGTATTGCCACTTTCTGACAGATGAGGACAAATGTAATTTCCAGGGATTTCATAGCTGAGAGATTAGAAGCTTTCCTGCTGGGCCTAATTCTGGAGCCAGGTATGAACCTGTGTTTCCCTTGTATAAAGGTAAAAGAATTCTGTTACTGGGGCTGTGGATGGAGCCGATTTTAACATTTGTTTTTTGAGCTCCATCTATAGCTCGTAAGGTCCACCAGGCTGGTCCAAGGTGCCTTTCCTCTAGACACAGGATTTCATTTAGTGGCTGTGCCTACATGCAAAGCAGCAACTTCATTCAACTCTCTGGGTCTTTGTCTTAGTGATGCCAGAAATAACAAAATAGAAACTGAACTATTACATGAAATGACTTTTGGGTTGGAAAAACAGGCTCTAAGAACAGAGTTAATGAACTGAGAGAAAATAGTTTCTGGTTATGCTACTAGAAACTGTGGTTTTTATCCTCATAAATCATTGCTTTAGGGAAAAAAAGTCCTTTCTAAACTTTTCCTGTCCTGTTTCCTTTTCATTTTTTGAATGAATGAACAGTAGGGTATTCTCTGTCTTTGAGTTATTTTCTTCCTAGCCACCTGGTCATAATCCAGAGGGAAAAACAAATTAGATGGATTCTGTGAGCTATATTTCATTGCTATTGGTGTGTGGATCACAATGCTTTATTTTCCACCAGTTAAACGAAGAACATTCTGGAAACTTTGCACAAAGAAAAATTAGTGTTTATCCCTACAGTTGAAATTTTCTAGGAAAAAAAAATAGCAACAAATTAAGTTTTGAAAAAGGAGAGCCAGGTGCAGTAGGGTGCATCTGTAGTCCCAGCTACTCAGGAGGCTGAGGCGGGAGGACCACTGCAGCCCAGGAGTTCAAGGCTGCAGTGAGCTATGATTGTACCACTGCACTCCAGCCTGAGCGACAGAGCTAGACTCTGTCTCTAAAAAAAGAAAATTTAAAAAGGAGGCTTGGCTGGGTGCAGTGGCTCAACGCCTGTAATCCCAGCACTTTGGGAGGCTGAGGCGGGTGGATCACCTGAGGTCGGGAGTTCCAGACCAGCCTAACCAACATGGAGAAACCCCATCTCTACTAAAAATACAAAAAACAAACAAACAAACAAACAAACAAACAAACAAACCAAATTAGCCCGGTGTGGTGGCACATGCCTGTAATCCCAGCTGCTTGGGAGGCTGAGGCAGGAGAATCACTTGAACCTGGAAGGTGGAGGTTGCGGTGAGCCGAGATTGCGCCATTGCACTCCAGCCTGGGCAACAAGAGTGAAACTTCATCTCAAAGAAAAAAAAAAAAAAAGAGCTTTGATTTTCATGAATACCAGTCTATTTCTGAAGGTTTCCCCCTTGGAGGAACAGTGGTGGCGGGCTGGCCCTCTCAGTCAAGGAGACGTGAGCATTCCATGAGACACGGGTTTCCTCTAGGGTCTGCCCCTGAGGTACCTGAGGTTTGGATACCTCTGCCCACTCCCCTCTGCCATGTTTTTCCAGCTGTACCGTGCCGATAATCACTGTGTCAGCTGTCATTACCATAATGCTCTGAGCATAACTGCTGTAACAGCTGGGAAAGAACTCTGCCTTTGCAAAACAATGCTGCGTCATAACACGCTAAAACCCCCAATGTGCCCACCCAATATTTCCTATCCATTTGCCCCTTCTGCACTCCACAGGCATGATCTTCCCTTTGCCAGTGGGACATCAGAATGAGACTCTCTTCTGTCCTCCCTCTCCTTCCCCAAGAACAGTCCTTGCTTGCAAATGCAAACAGAGAAAAAGATACTACCCGAGTGAGCAGGTGTTTCCGTTGGGGTCTGACAGGAGAAAGACACCACACTTAGATCGGGACTATTTAGAAAAGTATGGATGGAGTGTAGAAAATGAAAAGGGCTAATTAGATAGACCAGGGCTAGTCATAGCAGAGTGCCAGGATGGCCTAGGTCCGAAGGGTCAAAAGGAGGGAACCATGTTGGGGGGACAGAGGAAAGGAAGGTGTGGCGGAGCCTCCGGACTCGCCTCCTCCCTCCAGAGGGCAAGGGGGTTCTGCTGATGCAGTCCAGGCAGGCCCACTCCCTGGACACCAGGAGAGTGGAAAAGGGTGGAGACTGAGTCTGGAGGGCACGGAGGAAAATTGGCTCAGCATGGATTAGAACAGTCTTTCGCTTCCTGGAGCTTAAAAGCCCTCCTTACTTACCCTTAGCTCCTGCCACCTCTCTTTGTCCTTGGATGGATACAGCGCATGCCTCCTGCCTGCCACCTCATCTGTGGTTTCTCATCCTGTTTGCTGTCCTCCTTCCTCGTTCTGCCCATGCTGTCATAATGGATGGAAAAGCTAAAGGTGATTTCCAGTCATCTCTTTTGCTGCTGACAGCATGAAGTTTGTTCTGCTATTAGAATGACGCAGACCCGAGACAAGGGTTTTGTCCTGAGTTCATTCCATTAATTTCTCTCTGCATAGAGCATCTTTCCAGCAGCTCCTGCATGATTAAATTCTGGCTGTGTGGGACACAATGGCACAGGAAGAGCGTTGGCCACTCATCAGCCAGGTCACTAAAAGGCAAGTTCCACACATGAGGAGAAATCAAATGCTCACCCTTTGGACATCCATCCTTTTGGTCCTTTGAGTAACATTTAAACAATTGTTTCTTCAGATACATGGTCCACACTCAAGAGACCTACAACAGTTGGTATCACCTGGATAAGTATTCACCAGGCTCTCTATGCCCAGTTTTTTCCCAAGTTCCAACCAAGAGCTATTGATGGCTTTGCTCTTGATCAGAATAGCATTGGGTTTTGCTGCAAATATATTCTTGAGCATTATAGTGATGAAGAAAGAAAGAAAGATAGATAGATAGATAATAGAGAAATAGAAGATAGGTAGATAGATAGAGAAAGAAGCTTGCGTGTGTTTGTTTCAAAGAATGGGGTCAGTTTTCTTACAGCCACCTATTCTCTCGCCTGGACATATATTCAGTGAATGCTTCTGTTTGTAAGATGGCTAACTGGGATATGGGTCTTACAGGTCTTCAGTTCCTATAAGAGTCTACAACCACAGCCTCATTAACACATGCTCTCTGGTGAAAAGACATTAAATGGGGAGGGAGGAGGTGTGGATGCTACGCTGGCTTCACCACATGTAATTATTGAACTTTGTATATCACTTTACCTTTCTGGGTCTCAGGGACCTTGTCTAGAAACCCAACAAGGCAGGCTGTGGTAGCTCATGCCTGTAATCCCAGCACTTTGGGAGGCTGAGGTGGGAGGATTTCTTGAGCCCAGAAGGCCGAGGCCACAGTGAGCTGAGATTGGGCCACTGCACTCCAGCTTCTGCAACAGAGAGAGACCCTGTCAAAGAGAGAAAGAGGAAGGAAGGAAGGAAGGAAGGAAGGAAGGAAGGAAATAAATAAGCAATAAGCATGAAGTGGCAGTTATTCTCCAAGTGAACAGTGTGGAGTAACTGCCATTTTACTGGTACTCAAGTACTTGGTGTAACTGCTACATCCAGGCAACTGCTGAGACTTGAGCAAGGACCTTTACAGCCTTTGGAAGTCCCATCCGTCAGACACACCAGGGAGCCCGATGCTGAACTTCATGTCTGTGTTTGCTGAATGATGAGCAGGTCCTCTTCAGCGAGAGCTACACGAGCTGTGAATTTACCACGTGCCCGTCAAGGGGGTCATTGTGTTCCTCACTCTGTCAATAAACCACACAGTAAAGATCTGGATAATAGGAGCAGAACAGTTTCAAAGGACTTGTTACAATGTATCAAGTCAATAACTTATAATTTTAGAAAATCCCTGAATACAAATTTGCACAATTTTGAGTTGTTTTACAACTTACCAGGCCGTTAATCTAAGTTTTAAAAGTCTCTTAATATACTTAATCATAGCCTGTGCTTTTTTTTTTAAGTGCTGAAATATGTTTCAGCATTACTGAACCACAGCAGCACAAGGAAAAAACGACTTTAACTCGTTCCATAAAACTTGCAAAGCAACCATAAATATATACAGTGTGGGGTCTGTTTTGTGCACAATTTATATGCAATAGGCTGGGCTTGATCGAGAGGATTTATGCTTATCGTCTGTCTCCCCAGGCAGACAATTGTGGTAGAAAAGAAAATGCACAGGACCTAGAGTCAGGGCTGGGTTTCAATCCCATTTCTGCCACCTGCTTTTTGTGAGACCCTAGGGAAGCCTTTTGCTCCTTTGAACCTGTCTCCTACTTAACAATAATATGCCCACCTTAGAGGGCAGCTGTCAGGATTGCCACAGAGCAAGGCAGAGGTGAGCCATCTGCAGATGCGTGCTGAATTTAAACCAATGCATGAGTGACACGGAGCATGAGAGTGGCCAGCATCCTTCCTCTCTCCCTGCACCCCGCAAAACAACTCCATCCCCCACTCTCTCTCAGAGGTGGCAGCGGCCATAATTCAGACACATGCAACCCAGCCAGCGTAACCACCCCCTACTCACCCCCTGAAAATAGAAGAAGAAAGGATTTAGAGTCTGGGCAGATTGCTTTTAAAACATTTCCAACCTTCGATCTAATTTGTCATTATTATTTGTAGAGCTTTCTTTCTCTTCCTTCGTATCTCCTTTCATATCCGGAGCATTCCCAGGGAAGATCCCGTTGCTGAATACTCGTGTCTCCAGTTTTCTACCCGGACTTAAAGATCTACTGGTCCTGCAGAGCTGAGCTCCAGTGGTGTGAAAGGCACGTGAGCGATGCTGGGCTTGTGGAGATGAGTAACACACAGGCTTGCTTTCAAGGCACTCACAGCCTTACACATTTGAAAATGAGTTTTTCACTGGAGCCTGAAACTTCCAGATTTGAAACCATCTCCGGGGCCAAGCCTGGCTGAGACTCTCTCTCTCTGCATGAGCTGCCTGCCACCATCAGTTCCCCACCCAGATACCCAAGCCTGACCTTGACCTGCTGGGGGAAATTCATTATATTCTCGTTTACTCCATTTTATAGACGAATGTTTCTTATCATGAATGAGAGTTCGTTAAATCAGCTGGTTCTAGGTGGAGTTCACTAGAGCCCTCTCCAATGCTGCCGGAGGACCTGTTGCCGTCTGGGCTGTATTGTAGGTGGGTGGTATCATAATAAGATCCGTGGTACACGAATGGGCTTCAGGGCAGGCCTGGGTTACATCACCACCTCACTTTCGGTGTGTCAAAGCTGGAAAAAACAGCTGGAAGGTGGCCAGTGTTCGCTTACCCAACGAAGCATGACTTTGCATCTCCTCTACCCTGCCCAGTGAGGGCTCCCTGTTTTGAAGGACTGGCATATTCTGGAATGCTTCCACCAAATCCAAACATCATTCTGGATGAACTGTGGAGCAGTTCACCGTTCACAGTTCACAAAAGGACCCTCTGTAGAAGCAGAGGATCTTTCCCTGGGGAAATTATCCTAAGTCTTCTGATTTTAATAACTGATATAGTTCAAGTATTTGTCCCCGCCCAAATCTCATGTTCACTGTTAATCCCCAGTGCTGGAGGTGGGGCCTGGCGGGAGGTGACTGCATCATGGATCCCTCGTGACTCGGTGCCATCCTCATGATAGTGAGTTCTCCCAAGATCCGGTCATTTAAAAGTGTGTGTTTCCTGCCCCGTCTCATGCTCCCATTCTCATCACGTGATGTGCCTGCTCCCACTTCACCTTCCAACTTGAGTCAGAGCTCCCTGAGGCTTCCCTAGAGGCTGAGCAGATGCCAGTGTCATGCATACACAGCCTGCAGAACCATGAGCCAATTAAACCTCTTTTCTTTATAAATACCCAGACTTGGGTATTTCTTTATAGCAATGCAAGAACGGCCTAATACAATAATTGTTTTCCACATGAAATAAACATTGACCGTCTTATCCAACTATACATGCTTCTTGACTCTAGAAATTGTTGAATGGAAGTGCTAAAGATTATCCTCAAACACACTCATGTGCACACAGTTTCAGTGCCAGAACAGTGTCCTCTAGGAGGAAAGATGGTCCCAGAGCAATTACTGGTTTCCTTTAATTTTGGCTTCCTAATGAGTATCATTTTGGTACGATTCCAATGAATTGTTTATTTGAGGAAAGAGAAAAAGAAAAGAACCTATAGGAAGAGTTGGTTTGGATTCTATCGCGGGCAGTTTATGCTTCTACGATAGTAATAAAAGCAATGAGAGAAAAAAGCTACAGAACCAAATAAATATAGATCCAGGAGTTGTACAACTTTTAAAAGAAAAATTCTTTAGCCTATTGATCCTTCCTAAGGTAAACATTTATTTTATTTCAGTTTAGAACTCAAGAATTTTTTTCAAGTACAACTGAGGAATAGAGTCAGAAGCCACTTCGATTTTGACACCATAGAAACATTCTTTCTTTAGTTACTAGAATCTTTTAAATTGATAAGATTGGCATTTTCCCAGGATATAACATTCACCTCCACTGTGTTTTTAATTTGCAATAGATTTTGAGGGAAAGATTCCACAAGGATTTGGCCAACATGCCTCCTGAGCAGTGGGTCTCAAGTGTGGTCCCCAGACCAGCATGATCCCCATCAGCTGGAAACTGTTAGAAATGCAAATTGTCAGGCCCTACCCCAGACCCACTGAATCAGAAACTCTGGGAGGGGAAACCAACAATCTGTGTTTCAACATGAAGTCTGAGAACTTAAACTATGCACCGTTCTTGGTAAGAAAATAAGAGTTTTCCTTTGTGTGCGTATGTGAAACCAATTCCCTGCAACCCACAGTTGTTTAAACAAAAACGTGTCTAGGGAGTTCAAATTAGGTGGCCAATTGCCTTATAAAAGTTTACAAAGTAAAGAGTCTGTGCTGTTTCCGTTAGGAGACAGAAACCCAATCACTAACTTGGAGTATGAGTCAGAGGCAGGACAGAGAAATGTCTGTCTAGTCGGTGAGCTAATTAATACGTGATCCTGAGGATGGAGGAGCCAGGGCTGCCGTTCCTTCTCCACTAGGGAAAAAAAAAA
This sequence comes from Homo sapiens, assembly GCF_000001405.40. Lineage (NCBI taxonomy): Eukaryota > Metazoa > Chordata > Mammalia > Primates > Hominidae > Homo > Homo sapiens. The sequence continues at coordinate 245,585,543 of NC_000001.11, forward strand.
AAGATGTTTCTCTGTCAGGCAGCTCCCTAGCTACCTCCAGTATGTTCTATTCCATGGCTAGAGGAGTGCAGCCTACATCCTGTGGATTTATGTATATTACTGTAAAACAAGCTTTCTCTTCTCGAGAGTTCCGAAGCAGATCTGTCTCTGATTCTTTCCATGAATTCAAATACATTGTCATCCTTAGGTTTCCTAGGTAAAGGAGACTGCATTACTCATCAGCATTTAATAAATATTCATTTGTTGGTTGACTGATTCATTATCCTTCATGCCAATCACATGGCTGCTACTAGCATGCATACAGCCGACTCTTAACTACAGTTGTGTCATCTACACAATCCCTGCAGAAAACTCATTGAACACGTAGTCGACACATTTAAAAATGCTGTGCTGTGGAAGTGCAAGTTGCACAAACATTTTCATCTTTAGCTTCACTTAGAATACATTTTTTTAGTTTTTTAATGTTTTTAGAGACAGGGTCTGCCTCTGTGACCCAGGCTGGAATGCAGTGCTGTGTGATCATAGCTCACTATAACCTCAAACTTCTAGGTTCAAGTGCTCCTCCTGCCTCAGCCTCCCAAGTAGCTGGCACTATAGGCACACACCACCATGACCAGTGTGTGTGTGTGTGTGTGTGTGTGTGTGTGTGTGTGTGTTTGTTTTAATAGAGACGGGGTCTTGCTATGTTGCTGATTTCAAACTCCTGGCCTAAAGCAATTATCCTACCCTGGCCTCCCAAAGTGCTGGGATTGCAGGCATGAGCCACCTGGCCCATCTATAACTAACTTCATAACACTCCAAATTGGAAGAAAGTTGGTGGTGTTATTAGCATTATTTTACAGATGGAGAAATTAACACCTGGAGTTTTGTGATTACAGAGCAGTGGTAATCACCCAGTTATTTTCCTTCTCTGTCCCTCCAGTGGCCCTCTGTTGTCTGGGTTAAGTACAGACTTTTTAGTTTGAGGAAAGGAGTCCCTCCACAATTTGTCATTCCTCTATTCTTCCAGCCAAATTTCTTACTTCTCCTCCACCCTCAACTACAGTCAAACATCAAACAGGCCGGGCGCGGTGGCTCACGCCTGTAATCCCAGCACTTTGGGAGGCCGAGGCGGGTGGATCATGAGGTCAGGAGATCGAGACCATCCTGGCTAACAAGGTGAAACCCCGTCTCTACTAAAAAAAATACAAAAAATTAGCCGGGCGCGGTGGCGGGCGCCTGTAGTCCCAGCTACTCGGGAGGCTGAGGCAGGAGAATGGCGTGAACCCGGGAAGCGGAGCTTGCAGTGAGCCGAGATTGCGCCACTGCAGTCCGCAGTCCGGCCTGGGTGACAGAGCGAGACTCCGTCTCAAAAAAAAAAAAAAAAACATCAAACAATACTCACTGAGCCCTTCCCACGTGCCGGGCTATTTGCCGAGAACTTCTCATGCATTATCTCATTTAATCCTCATCACAACTTCTCTCAGGTGGAGGCATGATTGCCATCCCATCATACGGGTGAGGAAACTGAGGCTCATAGAAGTACCTTGCCCCAAGCCCCATGGCTACTTGCAGGTTCCAAGACACCGGTCAGCCTGCCCCCCTGCACCTTGGCCATGCTGCCCACTCACCTAGAGCGCACAGCTGACACTGAGTCCTCTTCTGAACCTCATCCATGAACATATTTATGAAATCTTTCCTGGCCCCAAGTGGAAATGCCCCCTCATTTGGGTCCTCACTGAACCCCAGTACACAACTCTTTTGTACTACTCTATTATGCTGGGGTGTTTTTTTATTGTCTCACCTGATAAACCGTAAGCCCCTTGAAGACAGCAACTCGTTTTTAAGCTCTTTATAACCCCAGAGCCTCGCACAGTACCTGGACCAGATTAAGGGGTACTTAACAGATGCTTAGTGAAGGAAGGAATGGATTTCTCACCTGGTTGCTTATCTTCTAGACTCATTTGGGGAGTGGCCAGGAGTCCGGGAGAGCTGCCGGCCATTGTTCCGTCCCGTCTGTATCCCTTGGGCTAGTTTCTTCTAGACTGAGGTTTCTAAGTCCAAACAAGATGAACTGTGCACAGTGCCTCAATTAGGGAACAGCAGCTTGAGTGCTTTGGAAATACAAAAGTGTAGTTTGTAGGTTCACCTTGAAGGCAAGATCAGACAGCTCTACGTAAGCCAGAGCTCTGAAACAAAGCTTCAGGCTGGGACCACTTTGCAGTCTCAGTGCCTGGTAGTGGGGACTGTTCTACAGAGCCGTGATCAAACCTCCAACTGCATTCTGGTCTTGGAGGAAAGCTGATTCCGTATGAAGAGAAAAGGCCTGGTGAGAGTATTTGCAGGGCTGAAGAAAAGTTAACATCTATAGTTTGGCAAGCAGCAGCTGCAAAGCATCCGTCCCAGCACATGATAAATGCTTCTGACGTTTCCTTCAGACACAGTGTGCTAGGAAGGCTTTTAAGTTCTCAAATGCAGGAGTCTGCCTTATTGATCAGGTGCCTTTCATTAAAGGTTTCCAAGCCCCTCGGCTACAGAGGAAACGCTCCCCTCAGCCTCCTCCACAGCCCCAGCCTTTCATGCAGAGGGGATTATCATTGTTGGAATACGGCATATACTTTAATTTGGTGAGGCTTTTTGTTTAATGCTTATGATATGCACACTGGAACAGACTGGGATTAGGTAATTTTCACATTGAGTTGGTACTTCCCTCCCTAACCCCCATCTGATCTTCCATATACACATTTTAAGAAGAAAATAAAGAGAAGACACGTCCTCCTAATGATCCTCCGTATTAGAACTTACCATTCTGCTTTGAACTCCTGCTGCTTTGAGTCTCCCACTGCCAGCAAGCACTTCTCTGCCAGGCGGAGGGGCGGTGAAGGGAATTAAAGGGGCAGTCAGTGGCTTGCCTCTGGCGGGAGGTGGCGGAGCGTCTCATTAGCGTTTGCTCCTTTCCTCCAGCTGGGCTTCACTGGGCCCCTCTTCTTATCAACCCGTCCTTCACTTCACCCAGGCTGTCCCCTGCACTCAGACCCCCTCCAGTCCTTCCAACAAGATGGCAGCAGGATGACTGGGACTCATTGGAGCTAAGCAGAGAATTAAAGTTGCTTTTGTTCCAAACCTAAAACTTGAAAATGAAGGAACTCTTACGTGGAAATGCCACCATCTCCCTTTTGTTTTATGCGTAAACCCAACTGGTTCCCCATCCTCTGGGTCTCCTTCCTGCCCCTCGCTGGCTCAGGGCATTGTACATACTGTGTGTTCAACACATGCTGAGTGGAATTGAACAGATGCAGTCCTGGGAAAGGGGGCCTTTTGGAAGAACTGATGGGGAAAGAATTGGGGTAACTGTGGGCAGTTACTGGACGTTCTTGCTCTTACTTATTGGTTGAATGAGAATGAAAGTATCTAAGATGTACCAAGTCCCAGGGATAGTGGCATAATTTCTCTGTTCCTCCTTCTGACTCCCTCTTCTCCCCTCTTTTAGTGTGGGGAAGTTACGAGAACGTAGCGTTTGGTGCAGTGATCCATTCAGTATACGTCGGGCTCTTAAGAAAGTTAAATTTACCTAACATCCTACATTTTAGATAAGACCGTTCCAGATTTCCACCTCTTGACCCAAAAGATCCCTTCGGTGGTTTTCCTTACTAGGGCAATTCCCTTAGTTTCTTGGATTCTTCCTTCCTCTCCTTCCTGGAACTAAGCTGCAGAGTCCCAGGCTGGAGAAATAGCCCACTGCCCAGGGGTATTTTAGAAAGGGCTTCCCACCTTCCGCAGTGGGCCTGGAGAAGGACGCCTTCTTTTCACCACCAGGCTGTGATCTCGCAGGCTGGCAAGGCCTTTATGATGAACTGAATGCGGTCTGTATTTACGTGCCTGCCATCTGTCCCCAGGCGGCACTGAGAAGGGGGCTGATGCTGTCACCCCTAGCTCCTTCTGCAGGTCTCCTCCGTACGTGCCACTGCCAGGAACAAAATTATCATCTCATGGGAGCTGCACACATTTAATGGAACTTGGGAGCCAGCACAGACCGTTTTCCTCAAAGACAGTTTTATAAAGAAAATGGACTTTGGGGAACAACGCCAGAAAGACATCCAGTATACCTAATTATTAGGCGAGTGTGGTCATTGCCTCTTTGTCTTAGATAACTAGGTTGTTGATTACGGTGCTTTGCCAAACTCCACGGTGGATCTGGTAGCTGGTATTTCTGGGCAGACACCAGACTGAGTTACTTCTTTTCAGAGTTCTGGACGTTACTGATCTAGGTGAAAGGCCAGAAGCAGTGGGATATTGAAATTCTCAGAAGTGGAGAGACTGTGGCAAGGAGGTACAGAAGACACTAAATCGGGTGCCATGTTAGCAAGCTCAAGTTTTCATATTGATCATGCAGTGAGCTGCAGAGAAGAAAAGCAGCTTTGCCTGGGTCCTGTTGTTCTCCAAGCCAAATAGCATCTCTGTGCTGACAGACGAGTCTGCGTCTGCAGACGCAGCATCTCTTGACTGTTTGCTATTTAACGACAGTCGTAACACATGAGTGAGCTTTACTCATGTGGGCCCTTTATTAACAATAAGCCGCCTCTGTGGCGGCTGGGCCCCGCGGGGTCGGGGGGTGGGGGTGCCCAACGTGGCAGGGAGGCCTGCAAGGGGAGGCCGAGGCGCCGGTGGAAGCACAAACCACCCGGCGAGTCAGAGCAGGGGTCGGGGCCCCTGGCCGCACCGTGCCGCGCATGCGCAGGGTCCCGGGGTCCCTGGGGTCCCGGGTTTGTGCCCCCGGGGCGGCTGGGCCCCGCGGGAGGGGACGGCCAACGCGGAAATGGGCCCTTTATTCACAATAAGTGCCAAAATCCAAACTGAACACATCTAAAAAAATTCTAATTAAGGAGCGTCCACTGCTGCTTTCTCAAAAATTCCTTCTGTGCTATTAAATATTTTCTCTTTCCAATGGATATTTACCATTTCTACTCACAGTAGTTTTTCTACCAAGTATTCAGAAAAACCTCCAGTTGTCACTTACCCAGTGTTTACCAAAAATCAGGCAGAAGAGCGTGGTGGAAGTTGGAAGACCTTAGTGTAACCCGCGTCTATAAAAACTGGGCGTCCAGGCCGGGCACGGTGGCTCACGCCTGTATTCCCAGCACGTTGGGAGTCCAAGGCAGGAGGATCACTTGAGTCCAGGAGTTCAAGACCAGCCCGGACAACATAGAAAAACCCTGTCTGTACAAGAAATTTAAAAATTAGCTGGGTGTGGTTGTATGTGTGCGTCATCCTAGCTACTTGGGAGGCTGAAGTGGGAGGATCACTTGAGCCTGGGAGGCAGCGGTTGCAGTGAGCAGAGCTCACACCAGTGCACTCCAGCCTGGGTGACAGTGAGATCCTGTCTCAAAAAAAAGAAAAAAAAAAAAAAAAATTGGATGACGTTGGGCAAGTGTGGTGTCTGTCTCAGCTCTGTGAGTGTAGGATGATTCAGAATCTAATGATTAGGTCTCCTGAACTCCTAGGTCAAACGTGGTTAAAGGGAGATCCAGGGAAGCAGTGAGGAATGGGCTCTTACAACACTGTCATGGACATGGGTTCAATATGTTGGCAATTATTATTTATTGAGGACGTACTTTGTTTTAAGTGCTTAGGATAATTATTTGCTTAATAGTCACGTAAGTCCTTCAAGATAGGCATTATTATCGCCATTTTACTAATGAGGAAACTATGTTAAAATAATATATTCCTGGTCACACAGCGACCAAGAGTCAGGATCTGTCTGCCTTCAGAGTTCATAGTCTTTCCAGTAGCCTCAGTAAAAAGTAATAATAGCTAATATTTACTGAGCACTTACTATGTCACTGACATTGTGGAAAGGGATGTTATGGGCATTTGCTCTTTTAATGATCACAGTAACTCTGCTAGGCCAGTACTGTTATTATGGCCGATTTATAGATGTGGACAGAGGAGGTTAAACACTCGTGCATGGACACATACTGATCAACGTACAGCCAGCACTCAAACCCAGGCCGCCTGTCTCCAGAGCCTGTGCCCCCAAGCTCTAGGCCATGTGCCCTGTAAGTCGCAGATGGGACGCTCTGACAGCGAGTGTCACTGAGGTCGGAGTGGGTCATCAGGCATGCCTCAGAATCCCATTCCCCACTTCATTCACACCTGAGAACGCCTGTCTCTGGATGCATCTTTACACCAGCTCATCCATTTAAAATCAGTTCCCTAATACAACAAGCTGAGGATGAGGCCCCTTCTAACTAGGCCACCGTCAGAGTCCCAATCCTTTCTGACAGACCAGCCCCCGACATGTGTCTGTCTCCATCCTTGCAGCCTGGCCAGCCCTGTCCCACGCCTGCTAATTGGTGGGGGGACCTGGCCCCCCAAGCCTGCCGGCCATTAGCAGTGCCTCACGGGGAAGGGCTTTCTTCCTTGGTTTCAACTCCCTCCCTCCAGCGCGCAGTCCCTTGCCGGGCTTGCCTGGTGACAGACTCGTGTTGATGAAGACCTTTAGGGAATTTCCTTCCCCCTCCGCTCCCCGAAGCGCTTCTTAGAGCACATCTCATTACCGGGCTCCATTCTCCCGTCCTGCACATGCTCCCTCACACTTAGCTTTATTGTGCCACCACTTGTCACCTTTCCCGGCCCGGTTTTTAATAATGCAAATCTTCCCTCTCTGATGGCATCGCTGCTCATTATTTGCTGTCTGGCACCACGGGAGCTCACCCAGCGGCACCTCGGAGAAGCCAGCCGCCCAGGGTGCAGGCGCAGGCCCCACTGCCCGCCCCAGTCTCCTGAGAGATGGCTCCGCTCTGGCTATGACCCAAGATGCTCATGGAGGGAAGAGCAGTCCAGGGCCAGGGCCCTTCCACCTTCGCCAGGCAGGTGCCTTTGAGCAAGTCAATCTCTGCAGCCTCAAAATAGGAAAGATGGTAATAATTATTATAATAATATCCCCTTAACAAAGCAGTTATGGGGCAACCAAATGGAAGTAAGATACGAGAAAAGTCTGTATAAACTGTAAGATTTGTAAAACTTGTAAAGAAGTTGTGGTGGTGTTGCTGATGGATGATTGATTGATTTGGTCAACACGGAGCAGTCGCTGCCCCAAAGTAGGCCTGGAGGGCACCCCAGCCCCCTCATCTGCCCTCCCACCCCCAAACTCAGCATGGAATCATATGGCTTTGGACTTTCTCCAGGTGGATAAAGCCCCCTGATCTTTGAACATGTCATGCAGGATTATTATTGTGTGTTTTGTTTGGGCAAAGAAATTTAAGCCAATTTACTTTTGTTCTGTAACTCATAACTGAACTGTGCTCAGAGTCTCTGGGGTCCTTTCAGGCATGGGTCTGTGGTTCTGTAATGGTAACTATGGGTTGATGGAGCAATGGCTTTGTAAAATATGTTTAAAAGCTCCCTCTGAATTGAGGGATCACAGCCTCCTTAGTTGTCCCCTGGATTTCCTGGCATTGGAGTTATGTAAGACCTCCATGATCATTGCCATCTGGAATATGACTCTTTGGTACCCCAAAAAACTTCTGGAGTCTTTCAGTCATATGGAATCAAAAAGATCTTCCTTTGGAAGAAGCAATTTTAGATCACTGATGGAAATTTTACCAGAAAAGTATTCAAATCTTTTCCTTTTATAAAACCTGGGTTTGTTTTTTGTTTTTTAATTATACTTTCAGTTCTGGGATACATGTATAGAATGTGCAGGTTTGTTACATAGGTATACACATGCCATGGTGGTTTGCTGCACCCATCAACCCGTCATCTACATTAGGTATTTCTCCTAATGCTATCCCTCCCCTAGCTCCCCAGCCCCCAACAGGCCCCGGTGTATGATGTTCCCCTCCCTGTGTCCATGTATTCTCATTGTTCAACTCCCACTTATGAGTGAGAACATGCAGTGTTTGGTTTTCTATTCCTGTATTAGTTTGCTGAGAATGATGGTTTCCTGCTTCATCCATGTCCCTGCAAAGGACATGAACTCATCCTTTTTTATGGCTGCATAGTATTCCATGGTGTATATGTGCCACATTTTCTTTATTCTGTCTATCATTGATGGGCATTTGGGTTGGTTCCAAGTCTTTGCTATTGTGAACAGTGCCACAATAAACATACGTGTGCATGTGTCTTTATAGTAGAATGATTTATAATCCTTTGGGTATATACCCAGTAATGGGATTGCTGGGTCAAATGGTATTTCTGGTTCTAGATCCTTGAGGAATCACCACACTGTCTTCCACAATGGTTGAACTAATTTACACTCCCACCAAAAGTGTAAAAGCATTGCTATTTCTCCACATCCTCTCCAGCATCTGTTGTTTCCTCACTTTTTAATGATCGCCATTCTAACTGGTGTGAGATGGTATCTCATTGTGGTGTTGCTTTGCATTTCCCTAATGACCAGTGATGATGAGCTTTTTTTCATATGTTTGTTGGCCACATAAATGTTTTCTTTTGAGAAGTGTCTGTTCATATCCTTCTCCCGCTTTTTGATGGGTTTGTTTTTTTCTTGTAAATTTGTTTAAGTTCTTTGTAGATTCTGGATATTAGCCCTATGTCAGATGAATAGATTGCAAAAATTTTCTTCCATTCTGTAGGTTGCCTGTTCACTCTGATGATAGTTTCTTTTGCTGTGCAGAAGCTCTTAGTTTAATTAGATCCCATTTGTCAATTTTGGCTTTTGTTGCCATTGCTTTTGGTGTTTTAGACATGAAGTCTTTGCCCATGCCTATGTCCTGAATGGTATTGCCTAGATTTTTGTCTAGGGTGTTTTATGGTTTTAGGTCTTACATTTAAGTCTTTAATCCAACTTGAGTTACTTTTTGTATAAGGTATAAGGAAGGGGTCCGGTTTCAGTTTTCTGCATATGGCTAGCCAGTTTTCCCAACACCATTTATTAAATAGGGAATCCTTTCCCCATTGCTTGTTTTGTCAGGTTTGTCAAAGACCAGATTATTGTAGATGTGTGGTGTTATTTCTGAGGCCTCTGTTCTGTTACATTTGTCTATATCTCTGTTTTGGTACCAGTACCATGCTGTTTTGGTTAGTGTAGCCTTGTAGTATAATTTGAGGTCAGGTAGCGTGATGCCTCCAGCTTTGTTCTTTTTGCTTAGGATTGTCTTGGCTATATGGGCTCTTTTTTGGTTCCAAATGAAATTTAAAGTAGTTTTTTCTAATTCTATGAAGAAAGTCAATGGTAGCTTGGTGGGAATAGCATTGAATCTATAAATTATTTTGGGCAGTGTGGCCATATTCACGATATTGTTTCTTCCTTTCCATAAGCATAGAATGTTTTTCCATTTGTTTGTGTCCTCTCTTATTTTCTTGAGCAGTGGTTTGTATTTCCCCTTGAAGAGGTCCTTCACATCCCTTGTAAGTTGTATTCCTAGGTATTTTATTCTCTTTGTAGCAATTGTGAATGGGAGTTCACTCATGATTTGGCTCTCTGTCTATTACTGGTGTATAGGAAGGCTTGTGATTTTTGCACAATGATTTTGTATCCTGTGACTTTCCTGAATTTGCTTATCAGCTTAAGGAGATTTTGGGCTGAGACGACGGGGTTTTCTAAATATAGAATCATGTTATCTGCAAACAGGCAATTTGACTTACTCTCTTCCTATTTGGATACCCTTTATTTCTTTCTCTTGCCTGATCGCCCTGGCCAGAACTTCCAATACCATATTGAATAGGAGTGGTGAGAGAGGGCATTCTTGTATTGTGCTGGTTTTCAAAGGGAATGCTTCCAGCTTTTGCCTATTCAGTATGATATTGGCTGTGGGTTTGTCATAAATAGCTCTTATTATTTTGAGAAACGTTTCATCGATACCTAATTTACTGAGAGTTTTTAGCATGAAGGGGTGTTGAATTTTGTTGAAGGCCTTTTCTGCATCTATTGAGATAATCGTGGTTTTTGTCATTCGTTCTGTTTATGTGATGGCTTACATTTATTGATTTGCGTATGTTGAACCAGCCTTGCATCCCAAAGATGAAGCCGACCTGATCGTGGTGGATAAGCTTTTTGATGTGCTGCTGGATTCAGTTTGCCAGTATTTTATTGAGGATTTTCACATCGATGTTCATCAGGGATATTGGCCTGAAATTTTCTTTTTTTGTTGTGTCTCTGCCAGGTTTTGGTATCAGGATGATTCTGGCCTCATAAAATGGGTTAGGGAGGAGTCCCTCTTTTTCTATAGTTTGGAATAGTTTCAGAAGGAATGGTATCAGCTCTTCTTTGTACCTCTGGTAGAATTCAGCTGTGAATCTGTCTGGTCCTGGGCTTTTTTTGGTTGGTAGGCTGCGAAATTACTGCCTCAATTTCAGAACTAGATATTGATCTATTCAGGGATTCGACTTCTTCTTGGTTTAGGCTTGGGAGGGTGTATGTGTCCAGGAATTTATCCATTTCTTCTAGATTTTGTAGTTTATTTGCATAGAGGTGTTCATAGTATTCTCTGACGGTAGTTTGTATTTCTGTGGGATCAGTGGTGATATCCCCTTTATCATTTTTTATTGTGTCTATTTGATTCTTCTCTCTTTTCTTCTTTGTTAGTCTGGCTAGCGGTCTATTTTGATAATCTTTTCAAAAAACCAGCTCCTGGATTCATTGATTTTTTGAAGGATTTTTTGTGTCTCTATTTCCTTCAGTTCTGCTCTGATCTTAGTTATTTCTTGCCTTCTGCTAGCTTTTGAATCTGTTTGCTCTTGCTTCTCTAGTTCTTTTAATTGTGATGTTAGGGTGTCGATTTTAGATCTTTCCTGCTTTCTCCTGTGGACATTGAGTGCTATAAATTTCCCTCTAAACATTGCTTTAAATGTGTCCCAGAGATTCTGGTATGTTGTGTCTTTGTGCTCATTGGTTTCAAAGAAATTATTTATTTCTGCCTTCATTTCATTATTTACCCAATAGTCATTCAGAAGCAGGTTGTTCAGTTTCCATGTAGTTGTGCAGTTTTGAGTGAGTTTCTTAACCCTGAGTTCTAATTTGATTGCAGTGTGGTCTGAGAGACTGTTTGTTATGATTTTCATTTTTTTGCATTTACTTCCAATTATGTGGTCGATTTCAGAATATGTGGTGCTGAGAAGAATGTATATTCTGTTGATTTGGGTTGGAGAGTTCTGTAGATGTCTTTTAGGTTCACTCAGTCCTGAGCTGAGTTCAAGCCCTGAATATCCTTATTAATTTTCTGTCTCGTTGCTCTAATATTGACAGTGGGATGTTAAAGTCTCCCACTATTATTGTGTGGGAGTCTAAATCTCTTTGTAGGTCTCTGAGAATTTGCTTTGCGAATCTGGGTGCTCCTGTATTGGGTGCATATATATTTAGGATCATTAGCTCTGCTTGTTGCATTGACCCCTTTACCATTATGTAACGCCTTAATTGTCTTTTTTTAATCTTTGTTGGTTTAAAGTCTGTTTTATCAGACACTACGACCGCAACCCTTGCTTTTTTTGTTTGTTTTCCATTTGCTTGGTAAATCTTCCTCCATCCCTTTATTTTGAGGCTATGTGTGACTCAGATGGGTCTCCTGAATACAGCACCCTGATGGGTCTTGACTCTTTATCCAATTTGCCAGTCTATATCTTTTAATTGGGGCATTTAGCCCATTTACATTTAAGGTTAATATTGTTATGTGTGAATTTGATCCTGTCATTATGATGCTAGCTGGTTATTTTTCCCATTAGTCGATGCAGTTTTTTCATAGCATGAATGGTCTTTACAATTTGGTATCTTTGTGCAGTGGGCTGGTACCAGTTGATCCTTTCCATGTTTAGTGCTTCCTTCAGGAGCTCTTGTAAGGCAGGCCTGGTGGTGACAAAATCTCTCAGCATTTGCCTGTCTGTAAGGGATTTTATTTCTCCTTTGCTTATGAAGCTTAGTTTGGCTGGATATGAAATTCTGGGTTGAAAATTCTTTAAGAGTGTTGACTATTGGCCCCCACCCTCTTCTGGCTTGTAGGGTTTCTGCAGAGAGATCTGCTGTTAGTCTAGGGAAGATGGGCTTCCCTTTGTGGGTAACCTGACCTTTCTCTCTAGTGCCCATAACATTTTTCCATCATTTCAACCTTGGTGAATCTGACGATTTTGTGTCTTGGGGTTGCTCTTCTCGAGGAGTATCTTTTTGGTGTTCTCTATATATTCTGAATTTAAATGTTGGCCTGTCCTGCTAGTTTGAGGAAATTCTCCTGGATAATATCCTGAAGAGTGGTTTCCAACTTGGTTCCATTCTCCCTATCACTTTCAGGTACACCAATCAAACATAGGTTTGGTCTTTTCACATAGTTCCATATTTCTTGGAGGCTTTGTTCATTCCTTTTCATTCTTTTTTCTCTAATCTTGTCTTCACGCTTTATTTCACTAAGTTGATCTTCAATCTCTGCTATCCTTTCTTCCGCTTGATCGATTCAGCTATTGATACTGTGTGTGCTTCATGAAGTTCTCATGCTGTGTTTTTCAACTCCATCAGGTCATTTGTGTTCTTCTCTAAACTGGCTATTCTAGTTAGCAATTCCTCTAACCTTTTTTCAAGGTTCTTAGCTTCCTTGTATTGGGTTAGAGCATGCTCCTTTAGTTCAGATAGAGAGATGATAAGGGATCAGAAGAGGCCAGTGGTGAATTAACTCTGTAGCCTAGAACCTTGTAGGGGTAAAAACTATTTATCATCACCTACACACTCTTACTGGGCATTTATTGTGGCCAAGACTCGGGTTCCTGTGTGTCTGTAGAGGGCCTTCATTGTGGGTATCCACAAAGTGAGTTGAAACAAAGCTCATGCATGAGAAGCGCTGATGGAGTTCTCCCTTGCTCCTGCCACCTTCTTATCATCTGTAGTCTTTTTCTTACTGCTGAGGGATCCTTCCAGTGGTCACATTTGCCCATAGCCCTCCTGAACGCTTGAGTCTGCAGAAAACCTCTAGCTGGACAGCTTCTGGGTAGAGAAACAGGCCATGAAGAGCCTCCTACATGTGCACCATGTGGCTACGCTCCGTGACGAGGGAAAAACAGGAATATCTGTCTGCTGTGATCACGTGTAGTGGTCACGGTGAGAGATGACGGGGCTGCTCCTCCTCAGCCTCCAGTCAGGCTGTGTGGCAGCGATCACCTCCATGTCGATGGAGTGTCTGTGCAGTTTGGGAGCGAGGCTCTGCCTCTCTCGGTGAGTGTCTCACAGTTCCTTTCTCCCTCAGCCCCATGATGCCGTCCAGAACAAGGTGCTGAACTGATTAATGAGCAGGACATAAAGACAACTGCTGTCCAGAGCAACAGCTGTCCCAATCCATCCGTGGAATAAACAAACAGGGCAGAGCGAGGTCCCGACCAGTGGGGACTTGGGTGCAGGAAATGCCAGTCTCTTCTTGCTTGAATCAGGGTGTCAGGGGGCCTTCCTGGCCACCACTCAGGCTGTTCCTTTAGCTTTCTGGATCCCATTCCCTGCAGGTCTACCCTTGGGAGTGAAATAGTGACCGTCCCTTTGAGCCCGAGAGCTGGGGAGAAGGCCGTGCCTGTTAACAGCTGCCTGGACCCTCTCTGGAGAGCAGCAGGGAGAGGCGGGGCTGGAGGAGATGTTGCCAAGAACCTAAGGGTGTTAGTGACAAAAGCAAGAACTCCTGGCAACAAGTCCGAGGGACTTTCTTGATCACAAGTGGTATCTCCTAAGCACTTTAATTATAGCAGATTAAGCAGGAAGTGGAGTGCCGGACTAAAGGAATAATGATACAAAGGAGGTGAAGCAGAAAAACTTAATTTCCTTCCTTTAAGGGAAAAAAAAGTCCATTTATTTAGACGCATTGCAAAGAAAAGAATGGAGTGTGGCCTTTCCCCCAGCTCGGAGCTCAGTGGGTTTTTAAAGAACTGTGTGTATCTCTTTGGCCAGACCAGCGACTGGGATCTTCAGCCTCTCTGCAGAAAATGAGCCGCAGGCTCGGGATTTCGTTAAGATGCAGGAGCATTCCTTCTGGACCAATGACTCACTCATTCAGCCCCTTCTTTCCCGCTTCTCCTTGTCAGCCCTCGCCTGGCTGAGCTCATATTTTACATTCAGCACCTCTGGTTACCCAGAAATTGCATGCAAAATTGTGAAATAGAAAAGCAGTGGGCTGTGGGCTCCATCAGCTCTGCCTGGCGTTGCATCATCCTTGACTTGCAATGCTCAGAGGCTGGGCTAGGAGATTTGCTTACAGAAAGCCTGAAGGTCCCAGGGACCTTCCCAAAGTTGCGACTTGAATGCATGCTCTTAGCACACATGCTGTGTAACTGGGGCAGATCTGTAGGAATGAGTGGAACTGAAATCAGACCTTAGAAAGTCACAGTGAATAAGAAAATTGCCAGAATGGAATGCAGATATACCTACTGGTTACTGTCCTGTATGTAGCGGCTGTGTGGGATTTGACTGTGTTTTACTAATAGGAGCCTTGTTGGGCCCAGTGCTTCATAACTAGCTCTGTCTGTCGGGAATCCCCCACAGTATCCTGCTTGTGATTCACGCTATCCAGAGTCCAGGGCAAGGAGTTCTAAAACCTTATCATGTTTTGTTTTGTTTTGATACAGAGTTTCACTCTTGTTGCCCAGGCTGGAGTGTAATGGCGTGATCTTGGCTCACCACAACCTCCGCTTCCCGGGTTCACGCCATTCTTCTGCCTCAGCCTCCCGAGTAGCTGGGACTACAGGCGCCCGCCACCATGCCCGGCTAATTTTTTGTATTTTTAGTAGAGACGGGGTTTCACCGTGTTAGCCAGGATGGTCTCTATCTCCTGACCTTGTGATCCGCCCGCCTCGGCCTCCCAAAGTGCTGGGATTACAGGCGTGAGCCACCACGCCTGGCCGTTTTGTTTTTGAGAGACAAGGTCTCGCTCTGTCACCCAGGCTGGAGTGCAGTGGCATGATCATAGCTCACTGTAACCTTGAACTCCTGAGCTCAAGTGACCCTGCTACCTCAACCTCCCAAGTAGCTGGCACCTGTAGGTGTGCACCATCACACCTGGCTATTTTTTTTTAATTAACTTTTTGTAGAGATGGGCTCTCACCATGTTGCCCAGGCTTGTCTTGAACTCCCACCTCTGCCCACATGCTGGGCATTCAATTCCTAGATCTCTTCCTCCCTCCTCTCTTGACTTGCCTCCTCCTGGATCATGATATCTTATCATTTTCCAATCACAGCGTTAATGGTAAGGCTTGAGGCTGGGCGTGGCACCCATGCCTGTAAACCCAGTGCTTTGGGAGGCAGAGGTGGGAGTTCAAGACAAGCCTGGGCCATGTTCAGCACTTTACATGCCCATTCACTGAGTTTGCACAGCCGCCCATATGACGGGCATTGTTATTCCTACTGTACAGGTGAGGAAATGGGGGCTCTGAGAAGTGTGACTGTTTGTGGGAGGCAGCAGCTGGCATGATGGAAAAAGTGTAGGCATTGGAGGTGGGATCCAAGTCCAGTCTTCCACCCACAGGTTCAGTGATGTGGGGCAAGTTATATAACACAGTTTTCTCATCTGTAAAATCTGGACAGGCATACCTACACCCTGGAGCATTGGGAGGATTAAATGAGATCGTGTAGATAACAGCATAGTCCTGGCATATGAGAGAAAATGGCAGGGATCTTTCTATGACCTCAGTGTGAGAAGCAAGATCTAAACCCTCAGAGGTAGAGTGCGTCCCACACTCGGGCTCCTTCTACTGGGACACTGGCTTCCGGATCTCCACGGAGAACTGTTCTTAAGTTAGAAGGCAAGCACAGCGGGGACACGGTGCAGGACACCTGCGGACCCAGTGCCCTTGGGATTCTTTACCTTCAGCTTTGCTCACTGCAGATTAGTCCTCATCGCTCAGCAGAGAGAGTCGAGATTGGCAGGAGGATCTCCGTCTTGAACAACATTATGATTCTCTGAGCATTTCTATATGTTGAAAATATTTTATTTAAAAATTACAACCACCCCTCCTCCTCAAAATTGCATGACAGAGATTTCACCAAACCTGACAACTGATGAGACAAAGAGAACAAGACACAGAGAGGAATTTAGAAATAATCCTTGTGCATACCTTCCGAAGTTGCCACATATTACTAAAATTACCTGTATCTGTGTCTATCCTGCTACTCTATGCATTACATATCTTTGCATCCCCCATGCCTAGCACAGTGCCCAGCACATAGTAGGTGCTCAAAAAAAGTGCCCATCATTTGTTGGACTGAACTCACAACACAGTAACAAAGAGCCAGTTAGAGCAAATGCTGTCCCTTTTCCCAGGACTGTAGCTTCCAGACCCGTGTGAGGCCTCAGCCTGATTTCTGTTCACCTTAGAACCCCAAGGCTGACTGTGCATTTCCATAAGCACCTCGCTCGCCTGCAGGACGGGGCTGGGTTGGTGGTGGGTACCAGAGGTGCTCAGTGTTCAATCACGCAGAAAGTGGGCTAAAGGGCAGCGCCTCCTGCTCCCTCCAGAGATGCACTTCCATTCTCTGAAACGACAACTTCTCTGCACTCGCTTAATGGGATCCCAAATAACACGTCGCAGACCAGTCTTTTATCACTGTTGCCCCTTGGAACACATTTCGAATGCTGGCCATTAAAAGCAGGCCATTTCACGGTTCTTTAATGATGACACTAATAACTGTGGATTTTTGTCTCCCAGAGTCCTGATGAGCTGAGCCAAGGAGTAAATTACGGAGCTAACTTTTATGTGCATGGTTTATTGATCTGTGAGCTTCAAGGAAACTGCACCAGCCCCTATAGTTTGGCAGTCCAGACTACCTTTTCATCTGTGTAATTGGGCCACGAGGGCGCAGTTAATATTCAATTTATATTAATAGGAAGACAAAGAACATGATGTGCCAGCTCCATATTGAAGTAATGGGCATATCAAAATATTCTACCTGGTAATTATAAATAAATCAGTTTTCCCGTGACCCACCAAGGATGATGTTGCTAATTCACTGTGCATTTCATCATAATTTATCCTGAGAAAGTTCAGTGCTGCCATGTGCATGTATATCGCAGAGTATACAAGGGTGCTCCATCGTAAAACACCCAGCTGTCTTCATCCATGCTGTCGCCCATCTTTTCTTAACAGGTGAAAGTCATGCTTCGCATCTGTTCCACCTTGGCTCGAGATACTTCAGAATCCAGCTCTTTCTTAAAGGTGGACCCACGGAAGAAGCAGATCACCTTGTACGATCCCCTGACTTGTGGAGGTCAAAATGCCTTCCAAAAGAGAGGCAACCAGGTTCCTCCAAAGATGTTTGCCTTCGATGCAGTTTTTCCACAAGACGCTTCTCAGGTGGGTATCAGCCCCCTCTCAGGCTCAGGCAACGTTGATGAAAGGGCAACGTTTACTCATTCACAAGGGCCCTTGAGCTGGGAGGGTGTCTTCTGGAGCATTCTGATGGACCAGTTCCTTCAGGAGTCAATCTGAGCTCCACCGAATGGTCCAGTGCTTTTGAATTACTGGTGTCAGACCTTGGGCAGGATCAGTGTGCACAGATTTCAATAAAATCTGTCCTTGGGGAGAAGGAAGTGTGAGCCAGTCAGTGGATCACACACAGAAGCAGGAAGATAACAGAAAGGGACAAGGACAATGCGTCAAGGTGCTGGTGACAGATCTAGTAGGACCCTACTCCTGCCTGGGCATTGTACGAAGGGAAAAAAAAAAGTGTTTCAGGGAGCTGATTAGAATTAGGCCATCTCCTAGGCCCTGTATAAGCACACTGGGGTTGAGGGCAAGCCTGTAGCCCTAGTAAGGAACCAGAGTGCAAGGCAGGGAAACCGAGGCTGACATGCATCCTGTGGCCTGGCTCAGTGGAGTGAAGGGGAAGAAGAGAGGCTCAGGGACAGGTGTTGTATTCGCTGAATTGCTGCCTTACAAATCACCCTAAAATTCAGTGCTTAATACAGTAAGCATTTATCATTGCTCATCGGTCAGCTGAGCAGCTCTTCTGGTCCTAGCTCAGCTCATTTTTATGTCTGTGATCAGCTGTGGGTTGGGCAGGCAGCTCTGTGGATCTTGGCTGGATATCAGCCAGGCGAAATAAGATCATCCTATATCACACCATAGGCACATGTCTTTGGGGGTTGGCTGGCCTTACACTGGTGTAGAATAGCCTTGACCAGGTCAGCTGGTCTCTCTTCCACATTGTCGGTCGTCATCCAGCAGGCTAGCTTGGGCTAGTTCTCAAGGCAGTTTCCAGGACCCATGCATGCAGGTCTCTGGAGGCCTAAGCTCAGAATTGACCCAATATCACTTCTGCTGGATTCTACTGGCCCAGCTTCATGAGATGGAGAAGAGATTGCTTCTAATGATTGGACGAGCTCCAAGTCACATTGCAAGGGAGTTGCACCCAGGCTGGGGTGGAGAATTGGGGCCATTTTTATTAATCTACTATGAGCATAATTGGGAGGCTACTTGGGGGCCCAGGGTACCAAGATTACTGAGCCATGGGCAGCCAATGAACTGCAGACCTCACCAGATGCTGCAACTAAAGCTGCTAGTAGATATCTGTTCTCCTTTGGATTCACCCTGGAGCTTTGGTGAAGATGGGCCTCTAAGTGGCACGAAACAGCACCTGTTCCTTCAGGGGAGGGAGCAGGGACAGACGTGTAGAACTGATTGCAGAAATGAATAACCCAGGTTATAGAATATAGCCTACTTTGCCTGGAGTTTGCATCTTTCTGGTAAGTTTCTAGTGCTTATCAAGATTTACATTAAACAGTGTATAGGATAATAACTAATAATCTATAGCAGAACCTGACGACAACAGTGCGAATAGTTACCATTTGCAGCCTCTGTGAATTTCCTCCAGGCTGCATCTGAGTAGAGGAGGTGGCGATGTTCTCACGGGCTCCTATATTACACCGTGGGCACACAGCACATGTTACAGGCTCCATTCATTAAGAAGTTGAGCATGCGGTTTCCCCAAAGAGTTTTACCCAAGAAGACAAAGTACTTTATGAATAAGTTCTATGGTTTCTCTCCTTATTACATTTTTTGTGTGGCATATCACCCAATGGGCTCAGTAATTTAAACCTGACGTTTGGTCTAACAAATGGCCTACAAATAATTTCATTAACACAGTTAAAACTTTTCAGAAGCAAATCTCCACAAGTTGTAAGAATTCCAAAGCAAACCCTAAATCAAGCATGGACTATGAATGCGTTTTAGATTTATTCCAGAAAAAGGGTCCATTTTAATTGCTAGTCTTTGTTTACATTTCACACTCGGCTGCAGAGCTCAGTATGCTCAATACTGGAGTTTCGCTCATTTCAGAATGCCTTACTTTCATTCACATTTCCAATGTTATAATAAATTACATGTCTGTATAAATTTGCAGTTTTCAAGACATTTCGTAGACATTAACACATTTGACTCTTCCTAGAATTCAGTGGGGTAGGAAGAGAGGCACTGATGTTCTCATGTGACACACAAGGAAACCGAGACTCAAAGATGAAGTCACTTGTTCAAAGTCCCTTTCCCGAGCAGACGTCCTTCCTGGATTCCCCCCGTTAACCTCTCTGTATCCTGCTCGGTATGGTGGTGTATCTTTGACCTCCTGCCATTTTATCCAATATTTCCTAGCAGTGTGGCCTCAGGCGAGTCACTCAACCTCTCTGGACCTCAGTGTCCTTCCTCATCTGTCAGGTGAGGACATGACCACAATGTTCCTCATCAGGCCGTGTGATTCCTCGAGTTGACACACAGGAAGTGCTCACAGCAGAGCCAGGAACACAGCAAGTGCTCAACAAATGCGGCTATTTTTACCGTTATCACTGCCAATATTAGCAGCATGCTGCTGGCCAGGGCAAACTCAGCCCCACAGGGTGGGCACCCCTGGAGCCCCCAAGCCTGAAAGGAGGGAGTGTGCGGAGTGGGCCTGTGCTCTCCAGTCCTCATTTTCAGCCTGTGAAGCCGCAGCCACTGTGGTGACCCGGGCAGTTAGAAATTGTGCTTTCTCTTCGTTTCTAAGGAAATCAGCTTCCTGAAGCTAAACAGTGATTAGAACAGTCCTGTTTCATGGTTGCCTTTGAGAGCCATATGACCCTTCAGTGGCTTCGGCAGTCGCTGGCTGCCCCTGTTGGGACACGTCTCTGCTGGGACACACCCCTGCTGGAGAACCTGGACTTGTGGGCAGGCAGAGCCTTCCTGCAGACCTGGCCCTTCCCATGGGGGCTGTGCTCGAGAAGGCTGCATGCCTCTCCAGGTCCCAGGGGAAGCAGCAAGGGGCCTCCGGGGCCCCTGCCAGCTCTTAACACACACCAGATGGACAGCCCGCTGACCACGCTCTTCTCAGTGGAGAGCCGGGTGGGAACTGTGCCAGGGGATGCCGCCCCAACTCTGCACAGCAGGTCTCCTCTCGCCCCCGGCCTCTGCACGGGTGACTCAGTGTGGTCCACACACAGCCAACATTCTCCCAGGTGGCTCAAGAATCAAATACAGCTTATTTTATGTATAGCTCAAGGTGATTTCTCAGCCTCCTGCCTCCCATCCCACTTTATGTCCAAAGAAGGCTTAGTCCATTGGGCAGCCTTCTGCCTGCTCTGCAGACACGCCTCTGGCAAATTCCATCAAGACGCTACTGCTTCTGTCTCAGGGTTAGCACTGGGCTCTCCTTGCCTAAGTCCTGGGGGGTTTGAAAGATCCTGTGTGCCCTACAGCAGCCCTGTCCTGCCACCCCCTCTGGCCCAGGAGGAGCCCCCCGCCCCCCGCAGAGTTGCTGGGGACCACCCTGGAACAAGTGACAGCTGTTGGAAGTGTGGTTTTTCAATTTTAGTTTAGGAGAGAAAACTGATTTCCAAATACTTGGGTTCACTGTGCTGCTGAATAACAACATTCACGGCCCAGGTGCCCACCGGGAGGCACGCTGCCCCGAGGGCTGCAAAGCCCCATGTTAGCACTGCCTCCCGGAGCTCCCACGAGCCCTGACTCCGGCCCCGAGACAGAAATGAAAGCAACAGGGCACAGCGAATAATGCTATCTTTCTGCTTCTGTGACAAGTCTCAGGTGCTAAACAAAGAGAAGGACATTTCCCAGATCTCCAAGTTAGTCCACAAAACCGACAGCTCTGATGGCTCGCAGAGCTCTGTATTAGCGGGTGTTCAGGGGAAATACAAAACATCATCGAGAGCCTGGTCCCTGTCTAGGATTTAATAATCAAATTGGAGACCAGACACACACACCCGGCCAAAGAACACCTAATAACATACCATGTGGTGACTGATACTCTATATGTTGAATGTATCTGTAGCAAAAGGAAGAAAAGGCAGGTTTTGAAAAGAGGAGCATGGGACGGGCGCAGTGGCTCACGCCTGTAATCCCAGCACTTTGGGAGGCCGAGGCGGGTGGATCACCTGAGGTCAGGAGTTTGAGACCAGCCTGACCAACGTGGTGAAACCCCCTCTCTACTAAAAAAATGCAAAAAATTAGCCAGGCATGGTGGCACATGCCTGTAATCCCAGCTACTCGGGAGGCTGAGGCAAGAGAATCACTTGAGCCCAGGAGGCGGAGGTTGCAGTGAGTTGAGATCGCACCATTGCACTCCAGCCTGGGCAACGAGACTGAAACTCCGTCTCAAAAAAAAAAAAAAAAAAAAAAATGAGGAAGGTGTGAATTGAAAATGAGGAAAGAGATCAGGAGAGAAAGCAGATATATATCACAAACCTCTTGCTTACGTGAGAACTACGGTGTTTCTCAAGGTCTCACTTGTGAAATGGTGGGTCACCTTTTTCCCTCTCATAAGCCTGGCCTGTTTAATAAACTCTATGTATACGTGTGTCAGCAGAGGGTGAGTGGAGAGTTTAAAGACCTTATCCGGGACCCCAGAATGGCAGATGAGGGAAGGGAATGAGGTTCATGAGCACACTGTGCCCCCATTCCAGCCTGCTCCTGCCTGCTCTACAGACGCATTCGCTGAAACGTACCACGGATTAGCAGAAGGGTGGTTTGCAGTGCATGTGCATAATGCTCAGGCTTGCAAAGGGCGGAAGGTCGCCAGGGGTTCTGAGCATCTCCAAAACTTCACGACAGAGGCCAACCCACCTGGGAACACAGTGACACTGGGACCCGAAGCCCCAGGAAGGTGGGCTCACTTTCGTTGTTAGTGGTGTCTCCGCTGCGAGGTCCATTCACGGCTCGTGTCTCCTCTTGTGTCTGACAGGCTGAAGTGTGTGCAGGCACCGTGGCAGAGGTGATCCAGTCTGTGGTCAACGGGGCAGATGGCTGCGTGTTCTGTTTCGGCCACGCCAAACTGGGTTCGTGAGAGTTTCACTTTCTCATGCGGCTCGTTGAGCTCCCTGTCATCCCATGCATTCCTCTGTCTCCCTCCCAGAGTTCTCTGATGACAGGAAGGGCTGCGTTTCTCTTAGGTGTTGAGCTGAATAACCAATAACAAGTTATACGACGAAAACCTATGTTGTTCATTGTAGGTGGACACCCATTCATGTAGGAAAGCCTTCAAGTCCAAATAGATGGAAAGAGAAGTAGCAGAGTTGTTCCCACTTGGTCCAGGTCAGAGTCAAGCCCAGAAGGCAGGCAGGAAAATATTCATTTCCTGAGCAGCCGCTGTTTGGGAAGCAGATAGGGCCCCTTGCACCACCGCACCCATGAGGATGTGGGTTGGTGGTTGGACCCCTGTAAAAGCCAGAGGAGCAACCTCCAAGCAAAGCCCAGAGCCCAGGGCGCGTCTGGAGAAAGCAGTGCACACCGTCGGGAACACTCCAGCGCTGAAGCGTCTGGGAAAGGAGGCAGCAGAGCCCCCCAACAAGGGGTTCATAAATCCCCCCACAGTCCCATCTTACTTCTGACCTGTGGCCATCTGCTCCCCAGGCCTTGCCCTTACACGCTTGATATGTTTAGTGAATTGAGGAGCTTCAAAAACTGTCCCTTGGCAGAGATTCCAACAGAGGCCTTGCTGGAGCTCACAGAGGCCAGTTCTCAGCCAGGACAGAAAGCCATTGCCTCTCTCTGCACTTCCGTCCTCCCCAGCCCTTTCTCTTGATCTTGATGTAAGCAGTGATCTGGGTTTTAATAGAATTTGCTCATGCCATAAAAATATACACAGCATTTAACTTGAGACAGGATATAAAGTGTGAATATGTGGACTTAATCTGGGGGGTAACTATAAAAAGAACCATAATGATGATGAAAAAGCCCAGCCTTCCCACTGTGTGTAAAGCAGTGCAGGAACTGGATAGCATGTGATATTTGGGGTCCTCCTCAAGGTACATGGTGATTTAATCTTGTCACATGTCTGGGCTCTTGCTTTGTTTCTTTTTTTTTTAAGAGATGGCTCTCAGTTGCCTGGGCTGGAGTACAGTGGCATGCTCATAGATTACTGTAACCTCCAATTCCTGGGCTCAAGTGATCCTCTCGCCTCAGCTTCCCAAGTAGCTGGGGCCACAGGCATGCCCCACCACACCCAGATAATTTTTAAAAATTTTTCATAGAGGCAGGGTCTCCGTATGTTGCCCAGACTGGCCTGGAACTCCTGGCCTCAAGCAATCCTCCCATCTTGGCCCCCACAAAGTGCTGAGGTTACAGGCATGAGCCACTGAGCCCAACCAGCATTCTTTATTGTAGCCATTTAGTTAGTAATACCAGAAAATGCCTTCTGTTGTTGTCAAATACTATTTCTCTCATCTTTTTGTTCCTTCTCTTCCCTTTTCCCCCCTTCCCTGTGCCTTTCTTCTATATCCTTGGCATCTATTTTGGAGACTCCGTGGAATGATGCCTGGACACTGAACCTGCTTTTCTTCCTTCCCTGGTTCTCCCAGGAAAATCCTACACCATGATCGGAAAGGATGATTCCATGCAGAACCTGGGCATCATTCCCTGTGCCATCTCTTGGCTCTTCAAGCTCATAAACGAACGCAAGGAAAAGACCGGCGCCCGTTTCTCAGTCCGGGTTTCCGCCGTGGAAGTGTGGGGGAAGGAGGAGAACCTGCGGGACCTGCTGTCGGAGGTGGCCACGGGCAGCCTGCAGGACGGCCAGTCCCCGGGCGTGTACCTCTGTGAGGACCCCATCTGCGGCACGCAGGTGATTGCTTCTGAAGCCTGGCTCGCCCCAAGGTGGCTCCCTCCCCACCTCAGAGGCTGGGGCAGCTCCACCCGTGAATCACTGAACCTGTAAACTCAGAGGCTTACGGGTGTTTACTTTAAAGTGGACTGGAACTTTATGGCCTGCAGCTGTGGGGCCATCGGCTTGCCCAGTCTAAATATTTGTACCTTGACTCTAATTGACAATGAGCAGGGACCACAATTACAGCATTTGGGGGAGAAATGGAATTCACTTTCTTTATGCCCCTTTCAAAAAAAAAAAGTAACAATCTTTCTTTTGTTTAACAACAAACCGGAATATTTACTGCTCTGCACAAATAGCTAGAGCCATTACGGGGCTGTTGATGACTCTATAAACTGTGCTTCTGGCACTGGTTTACAGCCGGATTAGCAGTGCTGCAGGAAAAACTAATAACCACTTTCTAATTAGAACCGTGATATAATTGCTAGAACTATGGAAGCCAAGAGAAGCTCCAGTTCACCATTTCAGGATGCTAAGCCTGTTGGGAGGGTCTCTCCTTTGCTGTTTGACAACAGATGTAGGAATGACCCGGGAGCTGCAATTCATTCATATCCAGAATAATCAATCCTTCCAGTCTCTAACAGTAGGCTTTATTTTCCCGTGTTGTCAGATGCCTCCTTTTGTAGATAGGTGTTCCGTTTGATAAGTACCTGCCTCTTCCCAACTGGGATTGTTTGCACAGGTGAGGATACCTCCCGTGGCCTGTTATACTCATTACTCAAACCTGACCATGCTCTTCCCCTGCTTAAAGCACCTCAGATCCCTCCATTTCCCTGAGTCCTCTTTCGTCTGCATCTGTCACCTCGAGGACTTGTTTAAACACTGATCGCTGGGCACCCCCCCAGAGTTTCCAATTCAGTAGGTCTAGAGTAGAGCTCCAAAATGTGCATTTCCAACAAGTTCCCATGAGATGCTCATGCTGCCGGTCCAGGGATCACAGTTGGAAATCACTGTTCTGAGGCATCAAATGTGCAGAGACAGTATCTACACAGTGTCTGTGATGCAATCAGTAGGACTCGACCCACTGCTCCTGTTCCAGGCATTTTCTAGACATTCAAATATGCTTTCACCCCCATTCATTTTTAGAACTTCATTGATGAAATTCCACTAAGGGGTGAAAAGTCTGGTTAAATGAAGGCTAAGAAAAAGAAGAAAAGACCAATATTCCCTTTAATTCTTGTTGAAAAATCTTTTAAATTCTTTGGTTTATTTTTCCATAGCGAGACAAAATTTTGAACACAAAAGAATCTCTCTTTGAAGTCTGAGGATTTTGATGGCCTCAGGTTCTAAATATTGGCTCTTACAGTTCAAAATTATTTGTATAGTTAGAGTAGAAAATTGTCAGAATTTGTACCAACCTTAAGACATGTACTGCAAATTAGTTCTTTGAACAAATCAGAAACATGAGTTGCCTTTTCTCCCCAAAAAGAGGAGTGCTGGTTCAATTCTGTTAATGTGATCGTTGTGATTCAGGTTTAAAATAATTGCCAAGTATTTTCATAAGATTCAGACGCATTACCCTGTGTGCTTTCTTTAATCAATTAATGAGTATGCCGGGAGCATGGATTCAGGAACTAAAGGTAAATAGGTATCTCCTAAATTTAGATGAGACATTCAAGTATCGTGAGTGTTTGAGGGTGCCCTTTACACTGGTTTCTTATTTATAACTATGCTAGTAAATATGGCCTAAAATTGGCTTTAATTAAATAACTGCAAAACTAGGAGTCAAATGAAAGCTAACCAAGTTTTTTTACATCTTTGGGACACCACTGCTATGAGGCCTCAAATCACATTTTGCAACCTACCTGTCTCCAAACAATCTAATCTTTGGACTCAAGATGCAGTCACATCGCTCCTGTTTTCTTAGGTAAATGGATAGCCAGGGGTGTTGGTTTGCCGCCCTCTGCAGAGATAAGGATGAGCCATCTGCTCCCAGCTTTTCACACCCACTAGTTCCAGATTCTACTTAGACTGTAAAGTAGGTAAAAATAGGTTTCATCCAATAAGTATGCTCAATATTAATTTTCAGAAATGAATTAATTAAGCTGAGAATTGCACATGAGCATAGCACCTTGTTTCAGAAGGGTTTTCAGCCTTAGAGGGGCACGTGGCTTTACTATACAGAACACACAGCCAGCTGAATGGTGCTGGGGACACCCAGGCATGAGTGACAGCAAGCCCTCCTCAGCCTGCAGCCTCATCTCTTGGCTTCTGTCTTCCAGCTGCAGAACCAGAGCGAGCTGCGGGCCCCCACCGCAGAGAAGGCTGCCTTTTTCCTGGATGCCGCCATTGCCTCCCGCAGGAGCCACCAACAGGACTGTGATGAGGACGACCACCGCAACTCACACGTGTTCTTCACACTGCACATCTACCAGTACCGGATGGAGAAGAGCGGGAAAGGGGGAAGTAAGTCGGCCACTCCACCCTCCTGCCTCCTTAGCGGCTCTGGCCCCAGCCAGAAATCCCTTGGGCAACCATGACCTTTGTGTGTGTGTGTGTGTGTGTGTGTGTGTGTGTGTGTGTGTGTGTGTGTGTGAGAGAGAGAGAGAGAGAGAGAGAGACAGGGTCTTGCTCTGTCACCCAGGCTGCAGTGCAGTGGCACGATCACAGCTCACTGCAGCCTCAAACTCCTGGGCTCAAGTGATCCTCCTGCCTCAGTCTCCCAAGTAGCTTGGGACTACAGGCTCATGCCACCACACCTAGCTATTTATTTGGTTATCTTTGTAGAGATGGGACCTTGCTATGTTGCCCAGGCTGGTCTAGAACTCCCGGTCTTGAGATCCTCTTGCCTTGATCTCCCAAAGTGTTGGGATGAAAGGTATGAGCCACCATGCCTAGCCAAACTTTTCTTAATAGACTACAATATGCAGTTCAGTGACTCGTAATTCAAGATAATTATAGTATCTGGGCTGA
This sequence comes from Homo sapiens, assembly GCF_000001405.40. Classification (NCBI taxonomy): domain Eukaryota; kingdom Metazoa; phylum Chordata; class Mammalia; order Primates; family Hominidae; genus Homo; species Homo sapiens. Next base: position 245,612,484 of record NC_000001.11, read on the forward strand.
AGTTCACTTTTGAACTGTCCAGGGAAAGGAGTTTGCTTTGGTAAAGGTAATTTACAAATGTCATTGCCATGAGAATGTGAGAGGTCAAAGTTACAAAAAGAAAACAACTGCCTGACAGTATCTTTTTGTTCACAGACCTCAAAAATGCTCCTCAAGAAAGACCAACATTTATCCACCAAAGCACTCCGGCAGTGTGTTATCATCATTAGCTCGAGGCCACTGTATGGACCATGTTTTTTAAAATAGCATAGAAATCAGACTTTTGAATAACTACCCAGACCCTGGCTGCCTCCCTCAAATCGTCAGTGAAGGTTTACTGTCAAAACCCAGGTACGGTGCCTGCTCTTCGAGTGAGCTGCCCTGCCAGGAACCCAACACTGTGCCCCTACAGACCCCTCTTGGCTGTGTTTCCAAAGTCAGCCCGGGCTGGGGTGCAATTCTCTGCCTTCTGTGAAGTAGTGTTTACTCTATGCCCAAAAGAGTTGAGCACCAGATCAGCTGAATGTCTCCAGTGGGGATCTTGGACCAGGGGCAAAGTGGTCTGTTGATTTCACTGGGTTCCTAAGGCAGGTTGTGGGTAACGGGGCTGCTGGGCTGGCCGGGCAGTGGCTTCCGTGGTTCCTCCATGTCCCGCTCTGCCGGGCTTTCAATACACAGGCAACTGGCTCCCAGCGCTTTCTGCATGATTGTCTCAAAGACACTGGATGCCAGAAAAACAATCAGAAAACTGAGTTAAGAGTCTAACCCTGGACTGGAAATTGTAAAGCTCATTGAGTAAAGCAGAGATGGTCCGCAAAGCTGTTGTAGATGAAGCCTAGAATGAAGACATCCAAGTAGGACCAGGCGTGGTGGCTCACACCTGTAATCCCAGCACTTTGGAAGGCCAAGGTGGTTAGATCACTTGAGGTCAGCAGTTTGAGACCAGCCTGGCCAACATGGAGAAACCCCGTCTCTACTAAAAATAAAAAAATTAGCTGGGCGTGGTGGCACACACCTCCCAGCTAGTTGGGGGTCTGAGGCAGGAGAATTGCTTGAACCCAGGAGGCGGAGGTTGCAGTGAGCCCAGATCGTGCCACTGCACTCCAGCCTGGGTGACAGAGCAAGGCTCTGTCTCAGAAAATAAAAATAAAAAGACTTCCAGCTGGGATCTATGGACAGGCTCCCCCTGATTTCCCCTAAGCCTCCTCGTGGCTCAAAAGACCTGGACAACAGTACTCCTGGGGAGAGAGCTCTTTGCGGGCTTCTGCTGTCCCCAGGCAAAAGCGCCTCCCTTCCCCCACCTCGGTGCCTCTCTTCCTACTCTTTAGTTACTGTTGTTAAAATCCAGGTTTATTGCAGTATAAGGTACATTCACCAAAACATCACTTTGATGTGTCTTTAGATGAGTTTTGGCCAATCTATACAGTCATGTAGCCACCACCATTATCAAAATAGAGCATAAGGCTAAAGTTCCCTCTTGCCGTTTGTCCCTTCCCCTGACCTCTAGCCCCTGGCAACCACGGATCTGATTGTTGTCCTGGTTTTGCGTTTATCCAGGATATCGTGGGAATGGACTCGTGTGGCCCAGATGTGGCCTTTTGTGTCTGGCTTCTTTCACGTAGTGTCCTAATGCATTTGAGACTCCCCCATGCTGCAGCACGCGTCTCTTGTTTCTTCTGGTTCCTGCTGCCTGTTCTGCCTGCTCCTTTAGTTTTTTTGTTTGTTTGAGATGAAGTCTCACTCACTCTGTTGCCCAGGCTGGAGTACAGTGGCGTGATCTCGGCTCACTGCAACCTCCGCCTCCCGAGTTCAAGCGATTCTCCTGCCTCAGCCTCCTGAGTAGCTGGGAATACAGGTGCCCACCACCATGTCTGGCTAATTTTTGTACGTTAAGTAGAGACGGAGTTTCACCATATTGGCCAGGATGGTCTTGAACTCCTGACCTCGTGATCCACCCGCCTCAGCCTCCCAAAGTGTTGGGATTACAGGCGTGAGCCACCGCACCTGGCCTCTCCTTCAGTTTTGACTGGGCCTGGAGGCTTGGTTCCTACCCTACCACCAGGACAGAATGAAAATATCCACAGCTGGGGCTGGAGTTCCTCTAACTGGGGCTGCTTTTTATGGCTCTGAAAATCAGCCCTGAGCTGCCTCCAGTGGCTGCTGTGAAGAACCGAGAGGTTCTGGTCCTCACTTACAGCGGGCGAGGCGCCCCAGGGAAGTGGCCCATTAGCTTGAGGGCAGCTCTCTCGACAGCCCATGATGGTGAGCAAAGTCTCACTGGAGAGGAGCCGAGGATAGTGAACGGGAATCTCTCGGGAGATGTATTCTTGGTAACAGGCTCACACCATGTAGAGCGCTTCCGTTTAGAATCACGTTCTTAAAGAAGGAAACGCATTCGGATAGGGATGAGGAGATGCAGACCTTTAAAATCGGATAGGGATGAGGAGATGCAGACCTTTAAAATCGGATAGGGATGAGGAGATGCAGACCTTTAAAATCGGATAGGGATGAGGAGATGCAGACCTTTAAAATCGGATAGGGATGAGGAGATGCAGACCTTTAAAATCGACAGCACAATTGCATCCACATTTCTCCTGACTGTGTGGGAGTTGGCCTTGAACCCTGCCCTCACTGTTTTCTCCTGGGTAGTGTCTTCACCCTGTCAATGTAAGAGTCTGACAAATGTTTAGTTTATTCTTTTAAGCAGCTGTCAGTAATCATCATCATCAGAGCCTGCAGGACTTTCTTGTACTTTCAGTAAAGAGTGACTCGCAAAACATCTAACCCTTGAGCCAAATGACTCCCAAATGGCACTGATCAGAAAAACTTGGGAGATGGGATTATCTCTCCTCCTTCCAGGTTTCAAACCAAACTGAGGACAACTCTGTTTTCGGTTTTGTACTTTTTTTCTTTTTTGCAGTTCTGCTTTCGATTTGGAATCTGAAAGTAGGGAGAAATCTTGAAAACAAGGAAACAGTTCATTAAATGACTTCAAATATAAGAACTTGAAATTCAGATTCCACAAAAGTTTAGGCCAAGACATTCCCTAAACCCAGTGATCCACCCCAAATCAGTACCTAAGGAATCCTGCACCCTTATTAAATATTTAATAGCCAGCTCATCTTCTTCCTATTTTTAAGTTGTGAAAGAGAATTGCTTTTAAATAATGCATTCAGGTTAAAAGAAAGGGCAAATACCACGAATGGTTTCCAAAACCTCGGTTAGGTCCTTCCTAATGTTTCAGTGGATGAGAACAAAGAAGGGGAAGGAGTCCAGGGGTCGTGCGATCGGCAGACCTGGGGGACATCTCTTCCCTCCCGAGGGGAAAGGATCCCGGCCAGAATGCACACGGCCTCCCCGCCTGGGACTCACTTGACTTCAGTGAATTTATAACTGTTTAAAATATAATGAGGAGATTTGGAGGGTTGTTTAAAATGGAAATTTTGTTTACTTACATATAAGTAATAATCCCTGCGGACCTGGCAGCCAGAACTCAATTAGGGGAAAGTTTATTAATTAGTCACCCTGCAGGGAAGCCATTAGAAGAGATCTCTGCCGCAAGAACTAAATAGACTCTGTGTGCGCCTCTGAATCTCATATGCACACATGCATTTTATACATTTTACACACAAATGCATCTTACATTTATAATTTTACACACAAATGCATTTTACACATATAAGTAGACAGACAAAAAAAAGTTTTAAACATTTCCAGTCAAAATAGAAAAGTCTTTGTTGATGTATCCCTGTTTTGCAGATAGCACTAGGTTAAGCTTAAAATATCTCCCTGTTTAAAAGCTCATTGGAATTAGTGGGACTGATCCTTCAGCCTCATGGAGGCCTTCCTCTGCTTTGCGAAGCTAAATCTGTAATAGCTTGAGAGCCTCCTCGGGAATCCCAGCACTGGGAAACAGACCCTGAAGCCCTACTGATCAGAGAGCTGCTTCTCATAACGACGCGTGTACTGGGCACCTAAAACAAGGTGGTGCTTGGGACCAGAAGTGTTTCAGATTTCAGATTGTTTTCCGATTTTGGAATATTTGCATATGTAATGATCCCTTGGGAATGGGACCCAAATCTAAATACAGATTTCATGTATGTTTCATATATGCCTTATAGACATAGCCTGAAGGTAACTTTATACAATATCTTCAATAATTTTGTGCATGAAACAAAGTTTTTACTGCATTTTGACTGCAACCCCTCACGAGGTCAGGTGTGGAATTTTCCCCTTGTGGCATCATATTGGCCTTCAAAAAGTTTGAGATTCTTGGAGTATTTTGGATTTCAGATTTTTTGGGTTAGGGATGCTCAGCGTGGACTAGTGATACTTCAGGGTAATGCGCTAATGATACGGAGATCGCACCTGTCCTGTTGACAAAGATAATTTCAAAAGCCCCACTTTTATGAGTAATCTAAGCATGCAAGCAACTGTTGCTCAAGGTCCACAATGACACCGGGTCTCTGATTTGTTCATTCTCTTTATTGCCTCTGTGGGGAGGATTAGAGGGCTTTGTAGGCTGGGCTGCTGTGTGCGCACACAAATGTATGTGCACATGGGCACACATCTGTGCTACACTCATCTGTCTACACATCTCATCAGACTCTTTAATCTGTTTTTTTGTTTGTTTGTTTGTTTGTTTGTTTTTAACACTGAGTCTCGCACTGTCACCCAGGCTGGAGTGCAGTGGCGCAATCTCAACTCACTTCAACTTCCACCTCCTGGGTTCCCCGCGATTCTCCTGCCTCAGCCTCCTGAGTAGCTGAGATGACAGGCGTCCACCACAACACCTGGCTAATTTTTGTGTTTTTTAGTAGAGACGGGGTTTCACCATGTTGGCCACGCTGGTCTCGAACTCCTGACCTCAAGTGATCCACCCACCTCGGCCTCCCCAAAGTGCTGGGATTACCATACCTAGCCTAATCTGCTTTCTTTTGACAATGCAAATGTTTTCTTTACATGTCATGGAATGGCTTAAATCAACTAATGCTGTATTTAGGGCTGTGTGGTGGATATGACTCTGGAGATCCATTCTTTGGGTGGCAGATGTGGGAAAAGAGGCTTAGGAAAGAACCTTGCTTCTAATGGAGCCACAGCCAGTCCCCTGCTGTCCCCAGCAGCGAAGCCCTGTGCAGCAAGGATGTCCACACACTACAGGGCTCTCATCTCCCGCTTGGTCAATAATGAAGTGGCAGTTTCATCTTTTTAGGTTTTTGTAATCTATATGTTTTTAAATGTTGGCCAGGAGACACTATTCTGAAGAGTGCAGCCTGGAATTCCCATCACCGCCTCCGTTTCTAATCTTCTCAAGCCTCCTGGCCACTCTCAGCAGGTAACTAGCATCTTAGTCAATGAGAAGACAGAGCTGACCTGGTGCATTCCTCAACTTCTCTTCTTTTGGTTTCATAGTCTCCTGGTCCCTTTACCTCAGTTTCCCCCCTGCTCCTTCCCACAGGCCTGCTGCTCCCGTCTCCTGGCATTCTTCCTCCTGCCCCTTCTGCCTCTTCTGGGACCTCACCAATTGGGACCCCCTCAGTGGTCTTTTCATGCTTATGTTTTCAGCCTTTCCTCCCACCAAAGTCAGGGTTACAGAAGGAAGAGAAGGAGGCAGGGAGGGAGGGAAAAGGAAAGGAAAGGAACCACAATGGCACCTTGCCTCTGCCACGCTCCTCTCCGATCGCCTCCTCAACAAAGACGTCAGATTCCCCTCTTTGTAATGTCTTCTTTGAATTTCAGCAGTGTGGGGGATGTTATGCTTTTGCCTTACTCCGCCTTATATTTTGGCTGTTTGTGAGCTAGTCCAAGCCCTATTGGACTATAGGTGCCTTGAGAAAGAGTGCCACAGTGCCAGGGCTGTGTCTGCTGCATGCTGTTTGTGAGCTTGTCCAAGCCCTATTAGACTATAGGTTCCTTGAGACAGAGTGCCACCGTCCTGGGGCTATGTCCGCAGCGTCAGTATCCAAGGCCTATTAGACTATAGGTTCCTTGAGACAGAGTGCCACAGTGCTGGGGCTGTGTCCGCTGCGTCAGTGTCCAAGCCCTATTAGACTATAGGGTCCTTGAGACAGAGTGCCACAGTGCTGGGGCTGTGTCTGCTGTGTGCTGTTTGTGAGCTTGTCCAAGCCCTATTAGACTATAGGTTCCTTGAGACAGAGTGCCACACTCCTGGGGCTGTGTCCACTGCATCAGTGTCCAAGCCCTATTAGACTATAGGTTCCTTGAGACAGAGTGCCACAGTGCTGGGGCTGTGTCTGCTACGTGCTGTTGGTGAGCTTGTCCAAGCCCTATTAAACTATGGGTTCCTTGAGACAGACTGCCACAGTGCTGGTGCTGTGTCCGCTGCATGCTGTTGGTGAGCTTGTCCAAGCCCTATTAGACTATAGGTTCCTTGAGACAGAGTGCCACAGTGCTGGGGCTGTGTCTGCTGCGTGCTGTTGGTGAGCTTGTCCAAGCCCTATTAGACTATAGGTTCCTTGAGACAGAGTGCCACAGTCCTGGGGCTGTGTCCACTGCATCAGTGTCCAAGCCCTATTAGACTATAGGTTCCTTGAGACAGAGTGCCACAGTGCTGGGGCTGTGTCCACTGCATCAGTGTCCAAGCCCTATTAGACTATAGGTTCCTTGAGACAGAGTGCCACAGTGCTGGGGCTGTGTCTGCTGCGTGCTGTTGGTGAGCTTGTCCAAGCCCTATTAAACTATGGGTTCCTTGAGACAGACTGCCACAGTGCTGGGGCTGTGTCTGCTGCGTGCTGTTGGTGAGCTTGTCCAAGCCCTATTAGACTATGGGTTCCTTGAGACAGAGTGCCACAGTGCTGGGGCTGTGTCCGCTGCGTCAGTGCTCAGGTCTCCTTTGTCCAAATGAAATGTGTGCTGTGGTTTTAAAAATGATTCTCTGCTCTCGAACTCCTGACCTCAGGTGATCCACCCACCTCGGCCAGCCTGGCCAACATGGTGAAACCCCCTCTTTACTAAAATTACAAAAATTAGTCAGGTGTGGTGGCAGGTGCCTATAATCCCAGCTACTTGGGAGGCTGAGGCAGGAGAATTGCTTGAACTCAGGAGTCAGAGGTTACAGGGTTGCAGTGAGCCGAGATGGCGCCACTGCACTCCAGCCTGGGCAATAGAGGGAAACTGTTTCAAAAAAAAAAAAAAAAAAAGAATCTCTGGGCTGGGCGTGGTGGCTCACACTGTAATCCCAGCACTTTGGGAGGCTGAGGCCGGAGGATCACTTGAGGTCAGGAGTTCAAGACCAGCGTGGCCAACGTAGTGAAACCTCGTCTCTACTAAAAATACAAAAATTAGCCAGGCATGGTGGCGGGCGCCTGTAGTCCCAGCTACTCGGGAGGCTGAGGCAGGAGAATCACTTGAACCTGGGAGGCGGAGCTTGCAGTGAGCTGAGATCACGCCACTGCACTCCAGCCTGGGTGACAGGGCAAGACTCCATCTCAAAAACAAAAAATGAAAAATAAAATAAAAATTAATCTCTGTGTTATCTAGTAGAGCTGTGATTCGGGAAGAGTAAGACCACCCAATTACCTTTCACGTAAGCAGATGGTATTAGGTCAGAGAAGCCTCACAACGCAACAGAGTCAGGAGGCAGTCAGCTGACTGGGCAAGTATGTTAGAGGGGGAATTATAGAAAATGATGTATTCATAAAGGTGTTATCTGAAATTAAATAATACAAATGTATTTTTATTCATTGATCTTACGAACCACAAAGGGCCAAGGCTCTCTCTTTGAGTTTTCAATTCAATTAATTTGACTTCCACGAACCACATTCGTATTAACAGTTCAGTTTTTGCTTTGAATTTCTTCAAAGAGATTTAAGAGCTTAAAAAAACACTTTACAACCAACTGGGTATAGACTTTTTCTAGATTCTTACAGTATTTTCCACTCTATAATTCCTCATTCACACAAAATTCAACATCGTTAAAAAAAATTTTTTTTTTTGAGACAGGGTCTCACTCTGTCACCCAGGCTGAAGTGCAGTGGCGCTATCTTGGCTCACTGCAACCTCTGCCTCCCAGGCTCAAGTGATCCTCCCACTTCAGCCTCCCACGTAGCTGGGGCAACAGGTGCGCACCACCATGCCTGGCTAATAGTTTATATTTTTTTGTAGAGATGGGGTTTCACCATTTTGCCCAGGCTGCTCTCAAACTCCTGAGCTCAGGCGATCCACCTGCCTTGGCCTCCCAAAGTGCTGGGATTACAGGTGTGAGCCATGGTACCCGTCCAAAAAATCCTCATTTTTTATCACATCTTTTCAAAGCATTGAGTTGAGTTTTTATAAAAACATTAACTCTCTTTACAAAATCATTTCATTGGCTTATACAGTATTTTATGTTTTTATTTAAAATAACAAGGGGCAGAAACCAATTTAGGAGGAAACACAGCTGACCTATTAAGAACTATGCAGCTGATTCTTTTTGGAGCAAAAGTGCACAAACTAGACCACAGCCTCCACTAACCACGAGCCCTCAGCGTGCTGTGGGCGTCAGGCAGAACTTCTTATGCAGGTGACCCAGAGCATTGCTGAACCTGGCCAGGTGGTAAGGCAGTGGCTCCCAAACTTAGCTACACATTAGACTCACCTGGAGGGCTTTTAAACGCATCCCAGAGTGCGTGCTGCCCTCCAGCCCAATTAAATTAGAAAGGCTGGGAGTGGGAACCAGACGTCAATATTTCTTGAAAGATTCCAGGGTGATTCCAACGGGCAGCAAAGTTTGGGAGGAACTACGACGGTGCGGGAAGGCGAGTTAAAAGAGCTTCTGCATGCTTTCTGGTTAGCTTCGGATTTTCATCTTAGATTTAGCATTAATTTTCTATGAGATCTTGGGTGATTTATTTAACTTCTATGAGCCTCAGTTTCCTTATATGTAAAATGGGGCTAATTTCTGCATTGTGGGATATTATAGGAATTAAGTGATATTAGGAGAATTTAGGATTTCCTGCTACCTTCCAGGTGCTTAATAAAGTGTGGCTCAGGCGTAGGAGACGTTATTATATTGTTTCCTGTGGGTAGAATAAGGCATGTGGGTAATTTGGTTTGGTCAAAGTCTAGACTTAAAATATTGCATATTAGAATATAACTAAAGGATTACTCAAGGCAGACTGAGTTGTGTTCCTTTAACCCTGCAGTCTTGACCTCAAAATCTGGAAAGTCAGTGAGGAACCTGCTTCTTACCTGCTATTAATTATCACCTATTGTGTTCATTTGCTGTGTAACTACACTTTCTCCCCAGCCGCCGGAAGTGATGGAAATTCTTGATAATAGCAAGTGGCCTGTGCTGACTCACCTTGTACTATTTCAAGTTAAGCACCATGTGTGAAATTCACAATTCTGTGCCTACGGCAACTCCAATAGGCACGGAGCAGAGAGTAGATTTTCCATTGTCTAAATGTGACTCTTACTTTGAGTCACGCAGGTATAATTATAGGTATTTTATATTATCATCCTCAGCACAGTCTAAACTGTGCCTTTTGTTCTTGTGTTCTGTTTTACTACATGTACATTATCCATTTTATTCCATTACATCAAATGGACTGTTAGAGTCAGAATTGGTCTCTGTCTTTGCCCTTTAATCTGTGGTGCATGTGGAATATCTGAGCTTCTCCTGTCTATATAATTAGGCTGCAAAACAGATGATATTTTGCTTTAAAAATAACTATTTCCATAGCACGCTGCTGTGACCCAAGCTTGCAGGGTACAAAATAGCATAAAACAGAAGTGACACATTATATCTTCCCCTTAAAGGGGTTTTACTGGGAATAGTTGAAGAGAAACAAAATATAACATCCTTAATGTAAAAAGTTCTTTGCCATAGACGTGCCAGTAGCTGGAGAGCTGGAATTGCAATGCTTTCTTTAAGTATTTCTCACCTTTTTTTCTCAGTACTAGATATGGAATTTGAGGATAGGAAGGGGTGGAGGCAGATTAGCCTTAGGACAGTGGTTGCCGAATATTTTCATCCTACAGCATGAGCAGTGCTGCATCAGCCTTGTCCTTCGGGCTCTTCTGCAGACGCGTGGATGCCTAGATCCCTCCCACGCACCCCGAGTGCCACCTGCAATGGTCCAGACACACGCGGGTCCCACACGCTCTGCTCGCTTTTTGTACCAACACCTTTCAATCTTGCCCCAAATTACTTGGCCTCCACAACAGCTTTGGGAAGTTTCCATCTCTGCCTTTGCCATTTTCCTTCTGTGCAGAGTAGGGAAAGGCAGAGGGAAGAGTTGCTGTCCTGGCAGTAACAGGAGGCAGGCCAGGTATGAGGCTGTAAGCTGGGCCGCCTGGAAAGATAGGGATCCAGAGGCCTGGAGGAGCAGCATTCCGCTGCTGCCTGGGATTGAGGCGGGGGGAAGGGAGACAGCCAAGGAGTGGGTGATGTACCCAGAGACACGCCTCTCTGGAAGAGTGGGGCCTGGGGCAAAAAGGCGGCCTTCTCCGGCTGCTTCGTGGAGCTGATGGAGGCCGCAGGATGTAGTTGAGAGCTCAGGTCTTGCAGTCAGTCTGTGGTTTGAATCCTAGCTCTACTACTGGCTGCAGGATCGTGAGCAAGTTTTTTTTTTTTTTTTTTTTTTTTTTGTTGTTTTTTAACAACTTTAATGAGATATACCTGAGCTACAATAAACTGTACATATTAAATCATATAACTTGATGTTTTATCATATGTATATGCCTATGAAACCGTCCTCAATCAAGATAATGAATATATTCTTCACCCCCAAAAGTTTCCTCGGGAGCCTTGCAATCCCTGCCTCCAGCTCCTCTTCCTTCCTGTCTCCAGACCCAGGAACCACTGAACTACTTTCAGTTTCTAGACATTAGTGTGGATTTCCTAGAATTTTATGTAAAAGGAAACATATCTTGCAGACGGTACTCTCGTGTGTGGCTTCTTTCACTTAGCATAATGATTTTGAGATGTAATCATTTCATTGCCTGTATCAATAGTTCATATATTTATATTTCTGCATAATAGTCCACTGCCCAGATATACCACAGTTGGCCGATCCATTCATCTCTTGATGGACATTTCTGTTGTTTCCAGTTTGGGGATATTACAAATAAAAGTACTAAAGGTTGAGCATCCCTAATCTGAAAATTCGAAATCCGAGATGCTCCAAATCTGAAACTTTGTGAGCGCCAAATGACATCACAAGTAGAAAATTCTACATCTGACCGCATGTGACAGGTCACAGGAAAAACTTTTTGTGTACAAAATTATCAAAAATATTGTCTAAGATTATCTTCAGGCTGTGTATATAAGGTATATATGAAACATAAATGAATTTAATGTTTACGTTGGGTCCTATTTCCAAGATATGTCATTAGATATATGCAAATACTCCAAAATCTCTGGTTCCAAGCATTTCAGATAAGGGATATTCAGCTTGTGTGAGCATACATGCACAAGTCTTTGTATGGTTATATGGTTTGGCTCTGTCCTCGCCCAAATTTCATGTTGAATTGTAATTCCCAGTGTTGGGGGAGGGACCTGGTGGGAGGTGATTACATCATGAGGATGGATGTCCCCCATGCTGTTCTCATCATAGTGAGTTATGAGATCCGGTGGTTTAAGAGTGTGTGGTACTCTCCCCCCTGCTCACTCGCTCTCTCTCCTGCTCTGCCATGGGAAGATGTGTCTTCCTTCACTGTGAGTCAATGAAACCTATTTTCCTCATAAATTACCCAGTCTCAGGTAGTTATTTATAGCAGTATGAAAACAGTCTAATATATATATGGACATATATTTTCTTTCCTTTGGGGTAAAAACCTATACTAGAACTGGAATCTTATCAATGTCTGGGAATATTTGAAAAAAAAAAAAAGAAAAACTGGAATGGCTGTACCATATAGTAGATGTTTAACTTTTTAAGAAATTTCTCAGCTGTTTCCCAAAGTGCTTGTACTATTTTATATGGGGAGTTCCCGTTCCTCCATACCCCCACCAGCATTTGGTGTGGTCAGTCTTTTAAGTTTTGCCTGTTTACATAGTAGGTTTGTAATAGTGTCTTGTGGTTTTAGTTTGCACTTCGCTAATGACCAATGATGCCAAGCATCCTTCTACACGCCCATTCGGCATCCATACCTCTTCTTTGGTGAAATGTCCCTTCAAATCTTCTGTCCTTTTAAAAATTGTTTTGAAAGTTTTTAATATATTCTGGATGCAAATCCTTTATAAGATATAGTATTTGCAAATATTTTCTCTCAGTCTGTGGCTTCTCTCTTCATTCTCAACAGCATCTTTTGAAAAACAAATACTTGTTTTTTTATGAAGTCCAATTTATATGTTCTTTTATGAATCATGTTTTTGCTGTCACATCTAAGAAATCTTTGCCTAACCCAAGGCCAAAAAGGTTTCTTCTTATGCCTCCTCTAGAAGTTTTGTAATTTTAGGCTTCAAATTTAGGTCTTTGATCAATTTTTAGTTAATTTTTGTATATTTTGCAATGTATGGACTCAAGTAGTTTTTTTCAGGTTGAGGGAGGTTAGGTGTTTTTTTGTGTGTGTGTATGAATATAGTATCCAAAATTTCCAGTATCATTTGTTGTAAAAAGCTATTATTTCTCTACTAAATTACCTTTGTCAAGGATTAGTTGGCCATATTTATGTGCAACTATTTCTAGACTCTGTTCTGTTCCATTGATCTATTTGTCTATCTTTACACCAATACCACACTGTTTTGATTATGGTGGATGTATAATAGGTCTTGAAATTAGGTAATGTTAACCTTCCAACTTTGTTCTTATTTTTTAAAGTTGTTTTGGCTATTCAGTGTATTTGGCATTTCCATACAAATTTTAGAGTCGCTTTCTAAATGGATTACGTAGAAAAAATTTCTATCAAAGAAGTCTACCAGGATTCTGATTGGGATTGCATTGAAGCTATAGCAACTTGGAGATGATTGACCTCTTCACAGTATTGAGTGTTCTGACCCAGGAGCACAGTATCTCTCTCTAGTTTAGGTTTTTATTAGTTCCCTTCAGTAATTTTTTAAAGTAGGAAAAAGCTATTATTTAAACATGTATTTCTTTTATATTGATATATAATTACACATATTTATGGGTGATATTTTGATGCACGCATACAATGTGTGATGATCAATCAGGGAATTTAGGAGATTCATCACCTCAGTTATCACTTATTTGTGTTGGGAACATTTCATTATTTTCTTCTAGCTATTTGAAAATATACAATAAATTATTGTTAACTATAGCCTCCTACTGTGCTATCAAACACTACGGCTTCCTCCTTTTATTTAACTGTGTATTTGTAACTGTTAACCCACCTGTTTTATCCCCCTCCCCCGGCACCCCACATCCCGCCCCTTCCCACACACACACATTCTTCCCAGCCTCTGGTATCTACCATTCTCCTCTCTACCTGCATGAGATCAACTTTTTAAGCTCCCACATATGAGTGAGAACATGCAATATTTGTCTTTCTGTGCCTGGCTTATTTGACTTAACATAATGACATCCAGTTCCATCCATTTTGCTACAAATGACAGGATTTGAGTTTTTGTATAACTACTAGTATTCCATTGTGTATATAGAGCACATTTTGCTACAAATGACAGGATTTGAGTTTTTGTATAACTGCTAGTATTCCATTGTGTATACAGAGCACATTTTCTTGGTCCCGTTCCATTCATCCATCCATTGTTGGACACTTAGGTTGATTCTGTATCTTGGCTGTTGCGAATAGAGCTGTGATAAATATAGGGGTACAGGTATCCCTTTGATATACTGATTTCTGTTCCTTTGGACAAACACCCAGTAGTGGGATTGCTAGATCATATGGTAGTTCTCGTTTTAGTTTTTTTTTGAGAAGCATCTATACTGTTTTCTATACTGGCTGTACTAATTTACATTCCCACCAACAGTGTGTAAGAGTTCCCTTTACTATGCATCTTCACTAGATTTCATGGTGGGTTTTTTTTTTCTGTCTTTCTAATAATAGCCATTCTGACTGGGGTGAAATTATATCTCATTGTGGTTTTGATTTGCACATCCCTGATGATTAGGGACATTGAACATTTTTTCACATACCTGGTTGCCATGTGTATGACTTCTTTTGAGAAATGTCTATTCAGATCCTTTGCCCAATTTTTAATGGGTTTGTTTGGGTTTTTTGCTGTTTTGAGTTCCCTGGATATTAATTCCTTGTTGAATGAACAGCTTGCAAATATTTTTTTTCCATTCTGCAGGTTGTCTCTTTGCTCTGTTGATTGTTTCCTTAGCTGTGCAGAACGTTTTTAGTTTAACATACTCCAATCTTTCTAATTTTGGTTTTCTTACTTGTGCTTTCAAAGTCTTAGCCATAAAATCTTTGCCTGGACCAATGTCCCAAAGCATTTCCCCTATGTTTTCATCTGGTAGAGTTATTGTTTTTGGTCTTAATATTTAAGCCTTTAATAAATTTTGAGTGGATTTTTATATATGGTAAGAGATAGCGGTCTAGTTTCACCCTTCTGCTTATGGATATCTAGTTTTCCCAGCACCATTTATTAAAGGGGATGTCCTTTCCCCAATGCATGTTCTTGGTGCCTTTGTCAAAAATGAGTTGGCTGTAAATAGATAGATTTATCTGTAGGTTCTCTATTGTGTCCCATTGGTCTATGTGTCTTTTTACGTCAATACCAGCCTGTTTTATGTTACAGTAGCTTCCTAGTAGTGTATTTTGAAGTCAGCTAGTGTGATGCCTCCAGCTTGTTTCTTTGTTTTCCAGTATTGCTTTGTGTGCAAGGTTTTTCTCTGTGTGTTTAAATTCCATGAAGAATGTCATGGATATTTCGACAGAGACTGCATTGAGTCTGTAGATTGCTTTGAGTAGGATGGTCATTTTAACAATGTTAACTTGAACTCAGGATTCAGAAACTCACTCAAAACCACACAACTACATGGAAATTGAACAACCTGCTCCTGAATGAGTCCTGGGTAAATAACAAAATTAAGGGAGAAATCAATGAGAACAAAAAGACGATGTACCAGAAGCTCTGGGACACCGCTAAAGCAGTGTTAGAGGGAAATTTATAGCACTAAACGCCCACATCAGAGAGCTGGAAAGATCTCAGATCGACACCTTAACATCACAATTAAAAGAACTAGAGAAGCAAGAGCAAACAAATCCAAAAGCTAGCAGAAGACAATAAATAAGATCAGAGCAGAACTGAAGGAGTTGGAGATGCGAAAAACCCTTCAAAATATCAATGAATCCAGGAGCCAGTTTTTTGAAAAAAAAAATTAAGGAAATAGACCACTTCACTAGACTAATAAAGAAGAAAAGGAGAAGAATCAAACAGACACAATAGAAAATGATAAAGGGGATATCACCCCTGATCCCACAGAAATACAAACTACCATCAGAGAATACTATAAACACCTCTGTGCAAATAAACTAGAAAATCTAGAAGAAATGGATAAATTCCTGGACACATACACCCTCCCAAGACTAAACCAGGAAGAAGTCAAATCCCTGAATAGACCAATAACGAGTTCTGAAATTGAGGCAGTAATTAATAGCCTACCAACCAAAAAAAGTCCAGGACCAGATGGATTCACAGCCGCATTCTACCAGAGGTACGACGAGGAGCTAGTACCATTCCTTCTGAAACTATTCCAAACAATAGAAAAAGAGGGAATCCTCCCTAACTCATTTTATGAGGCCAGCATCATCCTGATACCAAAACCTGGCAGAGACACAACAAGAAAAAGGAAACTTGGCCGGGCACGGTGGCTCACAGTGGCTCATGCCCATAACCCCAGCACTTAGGGGAGCCAAGCAGGTGGATCACTTGAGGTCAGGAGTTCGAGACCAGCCTGCCAACATGGCAAAACCCTGTCTCTACTAAAATTACAAAAATAGATGGGCATGGTGGCGGGTGCCTGTAATCCCAGCTAATCGGGAGGCTGAGGCAGGAGAATCACTTGAACCTGGGAGGCAGAGATTGCAGTTAGCCAAGATGAAGTCAGCTTCATCCCTGGTTCAACATGCAAATCAATAAACATAATCCATCACATAAACAGAACCAATGACAAAAACCACATGATTATCTCAATAGATGCAGAAAAGGCCTTCAATAAAATTCAACACCCTTCATGCCTCAATAAACTAGGTATTGATGGAACGTTTCTCAAAATAATAAGAGCTATTTATGACAAACCCATAGCCAATATCATAATGGGCAAAAGCTGGAAGCATTCCCTTTGAAAACCAGCACAAGACAAGGATGCCCTCTCTCAGCACTCCTATTCAACATAGTGTTAGAAGTTCTGGCCAGGGCAATCAGACAAGAGGAAGAAATAAAGCATATTCAAATAGGAAGAGAGGAAGTCAACTTGTCTCTGTTTGCAGTTGACCTGATTCTATATTTAGAAAACTATATCATTGGAGCCCAAAAACTTCTTGAACTGATAAGCAACTTCAGCAAATTCTCAGGATACAAAATCAATGCAAAAATCACAAGCATTCCTATACACCAACAACAGACAAACAGAGAGCCAAATCATGAATGAACTCCCATTCACCATCGCTACAAAGAGAATAAAATACCCAGGAATACCTTACAAGGAATGCGAAGGACCCCTTCAAGGAGAACTACAAACAACTGCTCAAGGAAATAAGAGAGGACACAAACAAATGGAAAAACATCTCATCCTCATGGATAGGAAGAATCAATATCGTGAAAATGGCCATACTGCCAAAATAATTTATAGATCCAGTGCTATTCCCATCAAACTACACTGACAGTCTTCACAGAATTAGAAAAAGCTACTTTAAATTTCATATGAAACCAAAAAAGAGCCCATATAGCAAAGACAATCCTAATCAAAAAGAACAAAGCTGGGAGGCATCACGCTACCTGACTTCAAACTATACTACAAGGCTACAGTAACCAAAACAACATGGTACTGGTACCAAAACAGACATATAGACCAATGGAACAGAACAGAGACCTCAGAAATAACACTACACATCTACAACAATCTGATCTTCGACAAACCTGACAAAAACAAGCAATGGAGAAAGAACTCCCTATTTAATAAATGGTACTGGGAAAAGCTAGCCGTATGCAGAAAACTAAAACTGGACCCCTTCCTTACACCTTATAAAAAAATTAACTCAAGATGGATTAAAGACTTAAATGTAAAACCCAAAACCATAAAAACCCTAGAAGAAAACCTAGGCACTACCAGCCAGGACATAGGCAGAGGCAAAGACTTCATGAAGAAAACACCAAAAGCAATTGCCAACAAAAGCCACAATTGACAAATGGGATCTAATTAAGTTAAAGAGCTCCTGCACAGCAAAAGAAACTAGCATCAGAGTGAACAGACAACCTACAAAACGGGAGAAAGTTTTTGCAATCTATCCATCTGACAAGGGTCTAATATCCAGAATCTACAAGGAACCTAAATTTACAAGAAAAACAAACATCAAAAAGTGGGCAAAGGATATGGAGAGACACTTCTCAAAAGAAGACATTTATGTGGCCAACAAACATGAAAGAAAGCTCAACATCACTGATCATTAGAGAAATGCAAATCAAAATGACAATGTGATACCATCTCATGCCAGTCAGAATGGTGATTATTAAAAAGTCAAGAAACAATAGATGGTGGCAAGGCTGTGGAGAAATAGAAACGCTTTCACATTGTTGGTGGGAATGTAAATTAGTTCAACTTCTGTGGAAGACAGTGTGGTGATTCTTCAAGGATCTAGAACCAGAAATACCATTTGACCCAGCAATCCCATTACTGGGTATATACCCAAAGGAATATAAATCATTCTACTACAAAGACACATGCACACATATATTTATTGCAGCACTATTTACAATAGCAGAGACATGGAACCAACCCAAATGTCCATCAATGATAGACTGCATGAAGAAAATGTAATACATATGCACCATGGAATACTATGCAGCCATAAAAAAGAATGAGATCATGTCCTTTGCAGGGACATGGATGAAGCTGGAAGCCGTCATCCTCAGCAAACTAACACAGGAACAGAAAACCAAACACCACACGTTGTCACTCATAAGCGGGAGTTGAACAATGAGAACACATGGACACAAGGAGGGGAACAACACACACCAGGGCCTGTCAGGGGGTTGAGGGAAAGGGGAGTGAGAGCATTAGGACAAATACCTAATGCATGTGGGGCTTAAAACCTAGATGACAGTTTGATGGGTACAGCAAGCCACCATAGTACATGGATAACTATATAACAAAACTGCAGGTTCTGCACATGTATCCCAGAACTTGAAGTAAATAAATAAATAAATAAATAATATTAACTCTTCTGATCCATGAGCATGGGATGTCTTTTCATTTTTTTCTATGTTCTTCAATTTTTTTATCAGTATTTTGAAGTTTTTGTTATAGAGGTATTTCACCTCCTTACATTTATTCCTAGGTATTTTTTAGTAGCTACAGTAGATGGGGTAGCTTTCTTGGTTTCTTTTTCAACTATTTGTTGCTGGTGTGTAGAAACACTACTGATTTTTGTATCCAGCCACATTACCAAATTTATCAGTTCTCAGAGTTTTTGGTGGAATCTTTAGGTTGTTCTAATTATTATATGCCATCTGCAGAGAGGAACAATTTGACTTTCGCTTTTCCAGTTTGGATGCCTTTTATTTCTTTCTCTTGCCTAATTGCTCTAGCTAGGACTTCCAGTACTATGTTGAATAACAGTGGTGGAAGTGGGCATCCTTGTCTTGTTCCAGTTCTTAGAAAAAAAAGGCTTTTAGCTTTTCCCCACTTATTATGATGTTAGCTGTGGGTTTGTCATATATGACCTTTGCTATGCTGAGGCATGTTTTTTCTATGCCTAACTTATTGAGAGTTTTTATCATGAAGGATGTTAGATTTTATCAAATATTTTTCCTGTGTCTATTGAGATGATCTTGTTGTTTTAGTCTCTCATATGTTGATGTGATGTGCACGTTTATTGATTTGCATACATCGAACCATCATTGCATCCCTAGGATAAATCCCACTTGATTATGGTGTATTATGTTATTGGTGTGTTGTTAGATTTGGTTCGCTAGTATTTTTTAGATGATTTTTGCATCTATGTTCATCAGGGATATTGGTATCTCATTTTGGTATTAGGATAATGGTGGCCTGGTTGCGTGAATTAGGAAGACTTCCCGCCTCTTCAATTTTTGGAATAGTTTGAGAAGAATTGGTTTTACTTTACTCCTTAATTCTACTGAACTTTTAAAGTCCTGGGCTTTTCTTTGTTGGGGAACTTTTTATTACTGATTAATTCTTGTTACTCATTATTTGTTCAGATTTTTTTATTCTTCCTGATTTAATCTTGTAAGGCTGTATGTGTCCAAGAGTTTATCCATTTCACCTGAGCTTTCCAATTTGTTCGTGTGTAGTTCTTCATAAGACTCTAATCATTTGTATTTCTGTGGTATTTTTTTCATTTCTCATTTTTTAAAATTTGGATCTTTTTTCTTGGTTAGTCTAACAGTTTAATCAATTTTGGTTCCTTTCAAAAATCAAGCTTTTATTTTCTTGATCCTTTGTAATTTTTGTGTGTGTGTGTGTTTATTTCGTCTCTGATCTTTATTCTTTCTTCTGATTTTTGGCTCAGTTTGCTTTGGCTTTTTTAGTTCCTTGAGATGCATCATTCGGTTGTCTATTTGAAATCTTTCTCCTTTTTTGAGGAAAACATTTATTACTCTAAACCCCTCTTACTACTGCTTTTGTTGTATCCCGTAGGTTTAGGAATGGTGTTTTTCCATTTTCATTTGTTTTAAGAAAAAAGATTTTATTTCATTCATTTAGGAGCATGTTTTCATGTAGGAGCATGGTTTTAAATTTTCATTTATTTGTACAGTTTCTAAAGTTCTTGTTATTGATTTCGTTTTACTGAATTGTGATCTAAGATGCTTGATATGATTTCAACTTTTAAAAATGTGTTGAGAGTTATTTTGTGGTCTAACACATGGTCTATCATGGAGAATATTCCATGTACTGATAATAAGGTTGTGTATTTTGCAGCACTTGAATGAAATGCTCTCTAAATATCTGTTCGATCCATTTGGTCTGTAGTGCGGATTAAGTTCAATGTTTCTTTATTGATTTTCTGTCTAGTTGATCTGTCCAGTGCTAAAGCGGAGTGGTGGACCAGGACCAGGCACATTGGCTCACACCTGTAATCCCAGCACTTTGGAAGGCCAAGGCGGGCCAATCACTTGAGCTCAGGAGTTTGAGACCAGCCTGGGCAACATGGTGAAACTCTGTCTCTAGAAAAAATACAAAAACTAGCTGGGTGTGGTGGCATGCACCTGTAGTGCCAGCTACTCCGGAGGCCAAGGTGGAAGGATCGTTTGAGCCTGGGAGATTGAGGCTGCAGTGAGCCAAGATCACACCACTGCTCTCCAGCCTGGGTGACAGAGTGAGACCCCATACCAAAAAATAATAAATAATAAAATGGAGTGGTGGAGGCCTCAACTATTACTGCATTGGGGTCAAGCTCTTTAGCTCTAATGATAATTGTTTTATATAATATATCTGGGTACTCCAGTGTTGACTGCATATATATTTACAATTGTTATAGTCTCCTGCTGAATTGTTCCCTTTATCATTATATTAATATAATGACCTTATTTGTCACTTTTTATGTTTTTTGGCTAACATTGTATTTTGTCTTATGTAAGTATAGCTACTCTGGCACACTTTTGGTTTCTATTTTCATGGAATAATTTTTTCCATCCCTTCATTTTCATTCTATGTGCATCTTTACAAATGAAATGCATTTGTTGGAGACAGCATACAGTTGGGTCTTTTTTTTTTTTTTAAATAAATCCATTCATCTTGTCTATATTTTTTACTTAAGGAATTTAAACTGTTTACATTCAAGGATGTCATTGATAGGTAAGGACTTACTTCTGTGATTTTGTAAACTGTTTTATGATGGTTTTGTATATTTTTTGTTCCTTTCTTCCTCTTGTATTGCTTACCTTGATGATTTGGTAGTTTATTGTAGTGATGTTTGACTCCTTTCTCTTTCTCATTCGTGTATCTGCTCTCCCAGTGAGTTTTTCAGTCTTGCGTATTCTCACGGTGGTAGTTATTGTCCTTTTGCTTCCAGATGTAGAACTCCCTCAAGCATTTCTCACAGGGCCTGTCTAGTGGTGGTGAATTCCCTCCATTTTTTCTTGTTTGGGAAAGACTTTACTTTTCATTCATTTTTTAAGGATAGCTTTCAGCAATATTTCATCTTTTTTTAAGGATAGCTTTCAGCAATATTTTATGGTTTTTATGTACACATTTTAATCATATCTCTAAATCATGTGTTTGATGTTGTTGTAAATGGTATTTTTAATTTTTTTTGAGTTGGGGTGACAGAGTGACACCCAGGCTGGATTGTAGAGGCACAGTCATAGCTCACTGCAGCCTCAAATTTGTAGTGTTCCTGCCACCTCAGCCTCCTGAGTAGCTAGGATTATAGGCACATGACATCATACCCAGCTAATTTCTTTTTGTATCATTTTTCTGTAGAGATGGGGTCTCACTATGTTGACCAGGCTGGTCTTGAACTCCTGGCCTTAAGTGATCCTTCTGCCTTGGCCTCCCAAAATGCTGGGATTACCGGTGCGAGGCACCACACCCAGCCTTATGTTTTAATTTCTAATTGTTTGTTACTATGATAAAGAAATGCATTGATTTTTGTCCATTGACCTCATATCCTGCAACCTTCCTAAACTCACCTATTAGTTCTAGTACCTTTTTTGTGGATTGCATCCATTAGATTTTTCTATAGGTGACTATATCACCAATGAAGATCATTTGACTTTCTTTCCAATCTGGATATCGTTCATTTATTGTACTTGCCTTATTGTACTGGCCAGGACTTCCAGTATAATGTTAAATGGAAACGGTGAGAGTGGACATGCTTGTCTTGCTCCCAATCTTAGAGGGAAGGCATTTAGTCTTTTACCATTAAGTATGATGTTAGCTTTAGTTTTTAGTAGATACCTTTTATTAAATTGAGGATATTGCCTTCTACTTATATATTGCTGAGGATTTTTTATCAGGAATGACTGAATTTTGGTAAATGCTTTTTCTGCATCTACTGAAACAATCATATAGTTTTCCTTTCAGTTTGTTAATATGGTAAATTATATTGATTAGGTTTTTTTTGTTAATCAACCTTGCATTCCTGAAATAAACCTCACTTGCTCATGGTATAAAACCCTTTGTATTTGTTGCTAGATACAATATTTTTTTGAGTTGGGGTCTCACTCTGTCACCCAGGCTGGAGTGTAGTGGCATGATCACAGCTCACTGCAATTTTAAACTCCTGTGCTCCAGCAATCCTTCCTTCCATCTCAGCCTCCCAACTAGCTAGGATTACAGTGTGCACCACTGTGCCCAGCTAATTTTTTATACTTTTTTTGTAGTGATGAGGTCTTGCTATGTTGCCCTGGCTGGTCTTGAACTTCGGGCCTGAAGCACCTCAGCCTCCCATAATACTGAGATTGTAGGAGTAAGCCACCATGCCTAGCCCTAGATACAATTTTCTAATATGGCTCTTTAATATTTTATTTAGAATTTTTTTGGCAATGTTCATGAGGGATATTGTTCTGCAGGTTTTTGTGTTTTTTTTTTTTTTTCAAACAACATACTTGTTTGCTTTTGGTATCAGATTAGTATAGTATAGCTTGGGAAGTATTTCTTCCTATTTTCAGGAAGACTTTGAGTAGAACTGTTATTATTTCTTCCTTAAATGGTGGGTAGAATTCACCAGTGCCTCCATCTGGTCCTAGAGTTTTACCTGTGGAAAGGTTGTGAACTACAGATTCTATTTCTTTAATGAATCTAGGGCCATTTTTATTATCTATTACCTCTTGAAAGAGCTTTGGAATTTTTCATCTTTCAAGACATTTTTCCATTCTTACACATTGTTTAATTTACTGGCATAATGTTTCTTTATTATCTTTTTGATATCTGTAGGAACTTTAGATGAGGCCATCTCATTCCTGATATTGATCATTTGTGTCTTTCTTTTTCCCAGATCATTTGTGCTAGGGATTTACAAATTTTGTTGATCTTCTCAAAGAACCAACTTTTGATTCATCGACTTTTCTCCATTGTTTTTGGTTTTCTGTTTCGTTGATTTCTGCTATTTTTTTTCCTTTCTGCTATTTTTTTTTCCTTTCTGCTATTATTTTGTCTATAATTTGCTCATCTTTTTCTAATTTCTTAAGGTGTAAGCTGAGATCATTGATTTGAAGCCATGGTTGCTTTCTGATATAGGCATTTAATGCTATACGTTTGTTTTAAGTACATCTTCAGGGTTATTCACAAATTTGGATGGGTTGCATTTTCATTTCTATTCACTTAAAAAGACTTTAAAATTTTCATTTTGAATTTTTCCTTGACCATAGGCTGTTTGGGGCCAAGTTGTGGAGTTTCAGAATATTTGGAGGTTTTTCAGATATTGTTCTACATTGACTTCTAATTTAATTCCATTGTATCAGGCAACATGCTTTGAGTGACATGAATCCTTAACATTTATTTAGACTTGTTCTGTGGACCAGAATACTGTGTATCTTGGTAAATGCTTTGTGTGCACTTCAAAAGAATGTGTATTCTGCTATTGTTGGGTTGAATGTTCTGTGTCAAGTAGATATTTGATAGTATTGTTCAAATTTATATCCTTATGGTTTTCTGTCTACTTGTCATATCAGTTTTGAGATGGGGGTATTTGAAATTGCCAACTATAATTAAAGACTTGTCTGTTTCTTCATGCAGTTCTACCAGATTGTTCTTCATGGATTAGAACATGAGCCACATAAATTTTTTTATTATGACCTCTTGATGAATTATCTCATTTCTCATTATAGAACGTTTTTTTTTTTGACTCTAACAACATTTTTCATCTTCAGTCTTTTTTGGCATTTTTAAATTGTGTGTCATAGTTGTACATATTTTTGGAGTACACATGATATTTTGATGCATGTATACAATGTGTAGTGATCAAATTAGGAAAATTGGGATATTCATCACCTCAAACATTTATCTTTGCTTTGTGTTGGGAATGTTTATTATTAACTATAGTTCTTCTACTGTACTATTGAATACTAAAACTCATTCCTTTTATCTAACTGTATGTTTGTACCTGCTAACCAATTTCTCTTTATCCTACCCTCTGCCCTTCCCTTCCCAGCCTCTGGTAGCCACTCTTCTACTCTCTATCTCCATGAGATCCACTGTTGTAGCTCCCACATATGAGTGACAACATGGGATATTTGTCTTTCCATACCTGACTTATTTCATTTAACATAATGACTTCCAGCTTCATCCATGTTGCTTAAAATGACAGGATTTCATTATTTTTATGGCTGAATAATATTCCATTGTGTGTGTGTGTGTGTGTGTGTATCTATCTCACATTTTCTTTATTAATTTACCCATTGATGGACACTTAGACTGATTCTATATTTTGGCTATTGTGAATAGTGCTACAATAAACATGGTAGTGCAGATACCTCTTTGATATACTGATTTCTTTTACTTTGGATATATACTCAGCAGTGGGATTGCTGGATCATACAGTAGTTCTACTTTTAAGTTTTTTGAGAAACCTCCAGAATGTTTTCCATGATGGCTGTACTAATTTACATTCCCACCAAGTGTATGAGCATTCACCATTTCCTGCATCCTCTCCAGCATTTGTTTTTTGTCTTTTTGATAATAGCCATTGTAACTGAGGTGAGATGATAGCTCGTTATGGTTTTGATTTGCACTTTCCTGATGATTAGTGATGTTGAACATCTTTTCACATACCTCTTGGCCACTTGTGTGTCTTCTTCTGATAAATGTCTATTCAGGTCTTTTGCTCATTTTAAATTGGATTATCTGGGGGGTTTTGGCCCATTGAGTTGTTTGAATTCCTCATATATTCTGGTTATTAATCCCTTGTCAAATAATTTGCAAATATTTTCTCCCATTCCATATGTAGGTTATCTTTTCACTTTGTTGTTTCCTGTTCTGTGTAGAAGCTTTTTAGCTTGATGTAATCCCACTTGTCTATTTTTGCTTTTATTGCCTATGTTTTTGAGGTCTTACCCCAAAAATATTCGCCAATGTCCTGTAGTATCTCCCCAGTGTTTTCTCCCAGCAGTTTCATAGTTTCAGGTTTAAATTTAAGTCCATTTTGAGTTGATTTTCATAATGTGATAAAAAATGAAGCTCTAGTTTCATTCTTCTGCATATGAATATCCAGTTTTCCCAGCACCATTTATTAAAGAGATTGTCTTTTCCCCAATGTATGTTATTGGTGCCTTTGTCAAAAATGAGTTGGCTGTAAGTGCATAGATTTATTTCTGGGTTTTCTATTGTATTCCATTGGTCTTCTATGTGTCTGTTTTTATGCCAGTGGTATACTCTTTGCTTACTATAGCTTGTAGTATAATTTGAAATCAGATAGTATGATGTTTCCAGCCTGGTTATTTTTGGTCAGTATTGATTTATCTACTACGGGTTTTTTGTGATTCTATAAGAATTTTAAGATTTCTTTTTTCTATTTCTGTGAAGAATGTCATGAGTATTTTGATAGGGATTGCAGTGAATCTGTAGATTGCTTTGGGTAGTATAGACATTTTAATAATATTAATTCTTCTTTGAGCATGGGATATTTTTCCATTTATGTGCTCTTCAATATCTTTCATTGGTGTTTTATAATTTTTCTTGTAGAGATCTTTCACTTCTTTGGTTGAATTTTTACTAGGTATGTTTTTGTAGCTGTTGTGATTGCTTTCTTGATTTCCTTTCAGATTGATCACAGATAGCATATAGAAATGTTACACATTTTGCGTGTTTATTTTATATCCTGCAACTTTATTAAACTCATTTATCAGTTCTAAAAGTTTTTTGGTGGAATCTTTAGATTTTTCTAAATATAAGATCATGTCATCTACAAACAAGAATAATTTGACTTCTTCCTTTCTAATTTGGATGCCCTTTATTTCTTTCTCTTGCCCTATTGTGCTGGCTAGGAATTCTAGTACTATACTGAATAATTACAGTTTATAGTTCACCACTGAGCATCCTTTTCTTATTCCAGATCTTAGTGAAAGGTTTTCTATTTTAACCTATTCAGTATGACATAAGCTGTGAGTGTGTAATATATGACACTTATCTTGTTGAGGTATGTTCCTTCTATAAATTTGTTGAGGATTTTCATCACGAAGGGATATTGAATTTTACTGACTACCTTTCCAGCATCTATTGAAGTAATTCATATATTTTCCTTGATTCTGTTGATGTGTGATGTATTAAACTTATTTGACTTACATATGTTGAACTATCCTTGCATCACTGGGATGAATCCTACTTGATTATGGTGAATGGTCTTTTTAATATATTGCTGTCTTCTGTTTATTGGTATTTTGTTGAGGATTTTTCCCTCTTTTTATCAGAAATATTGTCCTGTAGTTTTCTTTTGTTATCTTTGGCTTTGGAAATAAGGTCAGGGTGGCCTTGTAGAATGAGTTTGGAAGTATTTCCTCCTCTTCAATTGTTAAAAATAGTTTGAGTAGAATTGGTATTAGTTATTCTTTAAATGTTTGGTAGATTTCAGCAGTAAATCCATCAGTTCCCTGGCTTCTCTTTGATGGGAGACTTTTTATTACTGTTCCAATCTATTACTTGTTATTGGCCTATTCAGGTTTTTATTTCTTCACAGTTGAGTTTTGGTAGGTTATATGTTTCCAGGAATTTTTCCATTTTTTCCTAGATTTTCCAATTTATTGGCATATAGTTATTCATAATGGTCGCTAATGATCCTTTGTGTATCTGTAGTATCAGTTGTAATGTCATCTTTTTCATCTCTGATTTTATTTAGTTGGGTCTTCTGTTTTTTCTTAGTCTAACTGAAGGTTTTAAAATTTTGTTGCTTTTCAAAAAAACAAACTTTTTATTTTGTTGGGGTTTTTTGTATTGTTATTTTAGTCTCAATTTCATTTATTTCTGCTCCATCTTTACTCATTTTTTTCCTACTAATTTTAGGTTTGGTTTGTTTTTCCTTTTCTAGTTCATTGAGGTGCAACATTAGGTTGTTTATATTTGGAGTCTATATTTTTAATGTAGGTATTTATTGCTATAGAACTTTCCATTAGTGCTACTTTTTCTGTATCCCGTGGGTTCTGGCATATTGTATTTCCATTTTCATTTGTTTCAAGAACTTTTTAAACTTCATTCTTAATTTCTTCATTGACCCATTGATCATCCAGGAGCATGTTATTCAATTTCCATATATTTGAATAGTTTCCAACATTTCTTGTTATTTATAGTTTTATTCTGTTGTGGTTAGAAAAGATACTTGATATGATTTTGACTTTTTAAAACTTGTTGAGACATGTTTTGTGGCCTATCATATGGTCTGTCCTGGAGAATGTTCCATGTACTGATGAGAAGAATGTGTATTTTGTAGCAGTTGGATCAAATGTTCTGTGAATATCTGTTAGGTCCCTTTGGTCTAGAGTATAGTTTAATTCTGAGGTTTCTTTGTTGATTTTTCTGCCTGAATGATCCACCTATTGCCAAAAGTGAGGTGTTGAAGTCCCTTACTGTTATTGTATTGTAGTCTACCTCTCCTGTTTAGATCTACTAATATTTGCTCTCTCTCTCTCTCTCTCTCTATATATATATATATATACCCTGCTATTTGGTTATATATATTCATAATTGTTATATCCTCTTTCAGAATTGACTCCTTGCTGAATTATTATATAACAATTTCCTTTGTTTCTTTATATAGTTTTTCACTTAAAGTCTATTTTATCTGATCGAAGTATAGCTAGTCTTGATCATTTTTGGTTTCCATTTGTATGGAATGCTTTTGGTTTCCATTTGCATGGAATGCTTTTCCCATCCCTTCACTGTTAGTCTATGTGTGTCTCTATAGGTGAAGTTAGTTTATTGTAGGCAACATATACTTGGGTCTTACTTATTAATCCATTCAGCCACTCCATGTCTTTTATTTGGAGAATTTAGTCCATATACATTCCATGTTATTATTGATAGGTAAGGCCTTCCTACTGCCATTTTATTACTTATTTTCTAGTTGTTATATAGTGTACCTCCTTACTTCCTTTCTTATTTTTGTGGTTAAGTGATTTTCTTTGATAGCATGTTTTAATTTGCTGCTTTTATTTTTTGTTTATCAATTATAGATTTTTGCTTTAGGTTACCATGAAGCTTACAAAAACATCCTGTAATTATAACAAGTTATTTAAAAGTGATACCAATTTAACTTTTCATTGTAGCAGAAGAAAAGAAACAAAAAGAAAAAAACACATGCATTTTAATTCCCTTCTGTTCCTACATTTTAAATTTTTGATGTCACAAGATCAAAATTTGCCTACCTCAAAAATTTTATAGTTGTTATTTTTAATAGTTTTGTCTTTTAATCTTCTTAATAAAATTTTAAATGGTTTAGATGCCATGATTACAATATAACAATCACATTAGCATTATTTTTCCTATGCTTTTAAGAACTTCTTTAGCATTTATCATAGGCTAGGTCTGGTAGTGATACGTTTTCTCTGGAAAACTCATCTCTCCTTCATTTCTGAGGAATAACTGCTTGGTGCAGTATCCTTGGGGAACATTTTTTTTTTCCTTCAGCACTTTGAATAATATCATCTCACTCCCTCCTGACCTGTAAAATTTCTGCTGAGAAGTCTGCTGCCAGGTGTATTTGATGTCCGTTGTATGTTATTTGCTTTTTTCTTGCTCTCTCACTGTTTTTAGGACCCTCTTTGCCTTTGACCTTTGTGAGTTTAATTATAATATGTCTTGGGGTCTTCTCACTTGGGTTGAATCTGATCGGTGACTTTTGACCTTTGTGTACCTGAATATTTATATTTTTCTCCAGGTTTGGAAAGTTCTGTGTTATTTCTTTGAATAAGCTTGCAACTTCTTGTCTTTCTCAGTTCTCTCTTTAATTCCACTAACCCAAATATTTGCTCTTTTGATGTTGGTCCATAGGTCCCATAAGCTTTGTTCATTCCTTCTTATTCTTTTTTTTCTCTTCTGACTGTCTATTTTCAAATAGTCTTGTCTTTGAGCTCACTGATCCTTTCTTCTTTTTGATCAATTCCTCTGATACGCTCTATTGCATTTTTCATTTCATTTATTGAATTTTTTACCTCCAGGATTTCTGTTTAATTTTATTTTTTAAATCTTTTCTGTGAACTTTCTCTGAGAGATTTCTGTGAGCTTTCTTGAAGTTCACTGAGCTTCCTTAAAACTGCTATTTTGAATTATTTGTCTGAGAGATCACATATTTTCATCACTTTAGGGCCAGTCTTGGTGCCTTACTTTGTCCCTTTGACATCATATTTCCCTGAATGTTCTTGACGCTTGAAGTATGATGATATCTACACATTGAGAGATTAAATATTTTAGTCTTCCTAGTCTGGCTTTGTTTGTGCCTGTACTTCTTCAGAGGGTCTTCCAGAGATTCTAAGCCAACTGACTATTGTGTTCCCTGTGATCACCACAGTAATCTCAGCATTAGAGGATACTCTATTCCCTGGCTTGCTGTGAGTCTCACAATGGCTTTCTGGCCCAAACGGACCTGGGGAAGACCCAATGACGGTACTTGTGTTATGTGGGAACACTGGCCACCAGGGACCTGAGTCCTGAAGACTGTCCTAGTTTCCCAGACAAGTCTACTTCCCAGCAGGTCTCTGCACAGGTAGGTTGTGTCCCCAACTATAGCAAGAGGGGCAGAAGTTGAGACTGGACCCCTTCAGAATCTGCTGTGGGAAGGAGGCTGATGGGCCTTTCTCATTGGCTGAGACAGGCATGTGTTACTCAGCAAGTCTCTGCACAAGTGGAGTAGTTTCTTGCCCATAACAGGAGGAGCTAAAGCCAAGACTGGGCCTCCTCAGGGTCTGCTATAAGATGGAGGGTGGCCGGGTGCCTGTAGTCCTAGCTACTCGGGAGGCTGAGGCAGGAGAATGGCATGAACCCAGGAGGCAGAGTTTTCAGTGAGCCGTGATTGCAACACTGCACTCCAGCCTGGGGGACAGAGCGAGACTCCGTCTCAGAAAAAAAAAAAAAAAAAAAAAAAAAAATGGAGGCTGGCATACCTGCCACATTGGCTCAAATGGGCATGCATCTTCTAGTAAGTCCCTGCATAGACAGGATAGTTCCCCAACTATCAGCAGGAGGAGCTGGAGCAGAATCTGGGCCCTCATAAGATCTGCTGTGAGACAGATACTGAAGGGGTCAGTCTCAGCTCAGAGGGGTGTGTGTCACCCAGCAAGTTCCTGTAGAGATAGAATAGTTATCTGATTACAGAGAGAGGGTCTGGAGCTGTGACTGGGCCCTCTTGGGATCTGCTGTGGAATAGAAGCTGGAGAGCCCAGTCTTGTATCAGAAGGCATGTCTTTCCCAGGAGGACACTGCATCAATAGGATAGTTCCACGACTGCAGCAGGAGGTGCTGTACATGCCTCTCTGCGGGTCTTAGCACAAATGGGATAGGTCTTTGACTGTCTTCAGTCTCTTTTGTCTAATATTGGTAGATCCACTCCAGCTCTTATGGTTACTGTTTGCCTTATCCACACTTACACGTTTAAATGATTGTTTATTTCTATTTGAAGTGTATTTCTCAAGCATATAGTAGAGCCTCACTTTTTTATCCAATCTGACGATTTTTGCCTTTTAATAAGGGTATTTTAGACTATTTCAATTTCATATGATTATTGATATGGTTTGGTTCAAAATATTATTTTCTGTTTTCTATTTGTCCCATCTGATCTTTGTTCTCTCTCTCTCTTTTTTGCTTTCTTTTGGATTTATGAAACATTTAAATGGTTCCAATTTCCATCTTCTGTGGGTTTATTAGCTATTACTTTTATTGTTTAATTATTGCTTTAGTGTTTGTAATATATATGTTTAAGTTACCACAGTCTAATTTAAAGTGATATTATACCACTTATATAAGGAATAAAAACCTTACAATAGTATACTTCCATTTCTCCCGTCTGACTTTTGTGTTATTGCTATCAAACATTTTAATTTTACATATGTCATCATTCACACGTTACATTATGATTTTTGTTTTAATAATAATCTTTTAAAGAGATTTAAAGTAATAAAAATTACATATTTACCCATGTGGTTATCATTTCCAAAGCTCTTCATTCCTTTGTCTATATTCCTTGTGTTTTTGCTTATGGTGAATTCTTTTAGGATTTTTAAGTCAAAAAATATCTTTATTTCCCTTTTGTTTTGGAATGATACTTTTGCTGGGTGTATATTTCTAACTTGACAGTTTTTAGTACTTTAAAAACATTGCTCCACTGTCTTCTCACCTGTATTTCCAATGAGAAATCTGCCGTCATCCTTATCTTTGTTCCTTTATATGTAACGTGCTTTTTTCTCTCTGGCTCTTTTCAAGATTTTTCTTTATATCACTGGTTTTGGGCGGTTTGGTTATGATGTGCCTTGATATAGTTTCTTCCTTTGTGCTTGGGGCTCACTTAGCTTCTTGGATACATGGGTTTATGACTTTCATTAAATGTGGGGAAGTTTTAGCCATTATTTTTCTCAAATATTTTATTTGTACCACACTCTGTCTTCTCCTTTAGGGACTCCAATTACACATAGCAGGCACTTGAAGTTGTCCTACAGCTCTTTTTTTTCTGTGTTTTATTTGTTGTTTTTTTTCCCTATATATTTTATTCTGAATAGTTTTATTGCTAGATCTTCAAATTTGCTGATTTTTCATTCTGCAATATCTAATCTGCCATTCATCTCATCTACTATATTTTTTTTATCTCACACATTGTAGTTTTTATCTCTAGAGGTTCAGTTTTGTGTCTTTTTAAATATATATTCCATGTTTCTACTTAACTTTTTGAACATCTGAAATACAGTTGAAATAACTGTTTTAATAAATAGCTGCTTCTGTCAATTCTAACATCTATGCTAGTTCTAGGTTGGTTTCAGTTATCTCTTCATTATGGGTTTCATTTTCCCGAGTCTTTACTTTGTAAATATTCTTAAGCTTTGTTTTAGAATGCAGTTGCATTACTTGGAAACAGTTTGATCATTTTTTTGTTTTGCTTTTAATATGTGTTAGGTGGGATCAGGTCAGTGTTCAGTCTGTGGCTAAGTATGGGAAAGACTTCTGGGTATTCAACCCAATGCCCTGTGAATTGTGAAGTTTTCCAGGCTGGCTGTTAGGAAGTGGCACTATTCCTGGCTTTGTGTGAGTGCTGTGCACCATTATCTCCAATCTTTTTAGGTAGTTAATTTCTGAGCCTTGAATAGTTTTCTCACATGAATGTTGTGTTAGTCCCTTTTGCATTGCTGTAAAAGACACCTGAGGCTGGGTGATTTATAAAGAGGCTTATTCTGCTCACAGTTCTGCAAGCTATACAAGAAGCATGGCACCCAGCATCTGCTTCTGGTGAGGACTCAGGAAGCTTACGATGATGGTGGAAGGTGAAAGGAGAGTAGGCGTGTCACATGGCAAGAGAGAGCAGGAGAGAGAAGGGGGAAGGTGCCAGCATCTTTTAAACAACTAGCTTTTGCATGAAGTTAAAGAGCAAGAACTCACTCATTACCATGGGAAGGGCACTAAGCTGTTCATGAGGGATCCACCCCCAAGACCCAAACACCTCCCACCAGGCCCCATCTCCAACACTGAAGATCACACTTCAACACGACGCCTGTGATTCTCAGTGTTGGAACCTGCTGGGAGGTGTTTGGGTCATGGGGGTGGACGACACATCTCCAACATTGAGGATCACATTTCAACATGAGATTTGGAGGACACAAACATCCAAACTACATCAGGTGTGCTGATCAGTACTCAGCTGAACACTTGAGGGACCTTCTGCAAATCTCTAGAGCTCTCTCCTCTGCAGTACTCTGTCTTGTAAATTGTTGCCACCTTGGTCTCCCTGTACTTCAGCAGCAGAGGTATTCATGGGCAAGTTGCTTAAGTTTTCTGAACAGTTATTTTCTCATCAATACAGAAAGGATAATAGTATTTAGCTTATGATTCTACTGTGGGAACTGAACGAAACTGATGTTTGTACAGCACCTGGCACTTGGCAGATACTCAGCAAATATTTGGGTCTTCCCTGTCTCTGCACCTGGTCGTTACTTCTTCCTGATTTTTGTCTTGGGTTTGCAACCTGATTCCTGGCTGAGCTTTAGGTTGGTTTCTGTATAACGATCAACCAAAGCAGGTAATCACTCATGAGCCATTCAGGTTTTAACTTGATGAGTTTCAGAATTCTGCTATTCAAATGGCATTTAGGTAGAAACGTATCCTCCTGTAATTTGACATTTATTTTCTCCAAAATCTCATTCAGTTCAACCTGCAAGAATTATTTGAATTCACTTATTTGTAGTGTGAATGTCAGTAGGCTTTAGAAGGTCAGTGGTGCGTGGTGGAAAGAATTTAAGAGGACCAATGCTATTTGCAACCCCAGCGTGATTTTTCTGGGGTTTCCTAGTAGGTCATGAACGTCAACCTTTTACTTCCCCTTCTCATTTTGCCTCAGATTTCCCAAGGAGCTACATGAAGAACAGATGAGTGTTTGTCAGAACTTAACCATTTCTCTTTTATCTTCTCCCCTGTGGTAGTGTCTGGAGGTCGCAGCCGCCTGCATCTCATTGATCTCGGCAGCTGTGTGAAAGCTCTTAGCAAAAATCGAGAAGGAGGCTCAGGGCTGTGTCTCTCGCTGTCTGCTCTGGGCAATGTCATCCTGGCTCTCGTCAATGGCAGCAAACACATTCCATACAAGTAAGTGACTCTTCTACTCAAAGAATGTGGTGGGGTAAGCATGGTGTGGGACGCTTTGTTCAGTGCCATCTGTGGAGAGGTGTGCCACAGAGGGACAGCCTGGACCCCATTATAAGTTCAGTGCCAGAGACCAGCCTTAGCTAACAGTTGTGTAATGCATGATCTCCCAAATTCAAAACTTTTGGAAATACTTAAATCTATTCCAGTTCTAACTTTAGGCTGCTCAAATTAGAGGAAATAGGAAATTATCTCAGTTGAGGTCTCCACTCGCAAATGAAGGTGGTGGGTCATTGTCACCATAATAAAGATGTGCCTGTTTCATAGTGATGAGAGTGAGGGGTGGAAGACTGGCTTATCCTTAGGGGTAGGGCCACCAGACTTAACCAAAAAAATATAGGATATCCAGGCAAATTCAAATTTCAGATAACCAACAAATAAGGTTGTATTATAAGTATGCACCCCAACATTGCATGGGACGCTCCTGGTGACATGTATTTTATCTGGCAACCCAATCTCGGGAGTTCAGAAAGCTAGGGGAGTTAGCACCTGCCTTCCCATGCAAATGTTTAGTCACTTCCAGGATCCTTCCTGTCTCTTTACTACTGCTCCAATTAAATTACAGCCGCTCCTATGTCTGGCAGAGACAAAGCCACTCCACCACCATCACCCCAACTAAGCGTTCTCATTGGACCGTGTGGTGGCAGGCCATTGACTGGCTGTCCAGGCTTCTGCCAAGGCCTAGCTGAGCCTCTTACTAGCTGCATGAACCTTCATTCTTCCTAAAATGAGGGTTAAAGCTATACATGTTACATCACAGAAATATAAGGCTCAAAATGATAAAACATGTATAAAAGTTTATTGTAGGCTGGGTGCGGTGGCTCATGCCTGTAATCCTGGCACTTTGGGAGGCCGAGGCGGGTGGATCACAAGGTCAGGAGATTGAGACCATCCTGGCTAACACGGTGAAACCCCATCTCTACTAAAAATACAAAAAATTAGCTGGGCGTGGTGGTGGGCACCTGTAGTCCCAGCTACTCAGGAGGCTGAGGCAGGAGAATGGCATGAAACCAGGAGGCGGAGCTTGCAGTGAGCCAAGATCACGCCACTGCACTCCAGCCTGGGCAACAGAGCGAGACTCCTTCTCAAAAAAAAAAAAAAAAAAAGAAAAAAAAGAAAATTTATTGTAGAATTTAGGACACTATGGCCAATAACCAATGATGAAAGTCTGGTTACACCTATCTAGTCAAGCCTATCCTCACCTATTTAAAGGGAAAAAACACCGACCTTACAGAGTTGCCATGAGGTGAAGATTAACTAAATATATGTGGATTCATGGTTTTATCTGTAAAAACCCTACAAAACCTACGTTGCTGTTGTGTAGGAGGAAAAAGTCGGGCAGTGTATTCTATAATTACTGAGATTCACAATGAGTGCTGGAGTTTTTCTTCCCCTCAGCCCTATGTTGATGCCAGACCCCCCCACCAAATACATTGTGAGTTTATTTCCTACCAGGAGAACCATTACTGGACTGACTTTAGGAGCTTAAATGGTGATTATAATCCTGTCCATCTCATTTCTAGAAATTTGGAATCCTAGTTGGATAAACCCAGAAATGGTTTTCCCGGCTCTTGTAACAACCCTTTTCTATGGGAGAATATTCTGAGTTGAAGAATTATAGAGTTTCATTCGATGTCATTTCTGTAGTTGAGTAAATTCAGCTTGTGGGGAGAAAGGGCAGGGGAGGGAAACCGTTGGAGTTGGAGATGAAGGGAAGAGTACTAGCACTCACTGGTTTCCATAAAATGAGAATCATGTCTGTTAATGTCAGAACTTCATAGATCATGATATAGATAAAATTCCAAATTGCACCTTAGCAGGAGGTCATTGATTACATATCTTACTTATAGCTTTTACACTGTTTCTGCAGGGCGACATGCTTTTATGATTTCTATAAATAGTTGTTGAATTGATGGCGGGAAGATAGATGCATGTAAACATGAAATTATTTTTAATTTAAAGTAACTTCCTTTTAGTTAGAGTTGGGTTTTTTATAAATGAGTAGGGAAACATTAAAAATTGTTTTTATGGCCCAGCGTGGTGGCTCACACCTATATTCCTGGCACTTTGGGAGGCTGAGGCGGGAGGATTGCTTGAGACCAGCCTGGGCAGCATGGCAAAAACCTGTCTCTACAAAAAATACAAAAATTAACCGGGCATGGTGTTGCATGGTTGTAGTCCCAGCTACTTGGGAGGCTGAGGTGGAAGGGTGGCTTGAGTCCAGGAGGCAGAGGCTGCAGTGAGTTGAGATTGCGCTACTGCACCAGCCTGGGCAACAGAGTGAGACCCTGTCTCAAAAAAAAAAAAATAAATGAAAGTTTGTATTAATCGTTCAAGCTTCGTGTTAATTAAGCATATTTTTAACATGCTGGCCCTACCAACTGGCTACCTGCCCTCCTGGGAGACATCTCCACTCACCAGTCCCTGCAGACAGCTGCCTGCCTTCATTCCAGGAGTCCCCTTCCTTCTATTCTGGCACCAAGAGAGTGATCATTAAAGTGTTTCTGTGTCTCAAGTAAGCAGACTAGCTTCCATGCAGTGTCAGCACAAGACCCAATCCTGGAGCTGTCCCGTGGCCTGGTTGAGCTGTTGATGGCGTGGGTACAGACTCACCAGCTGCCCTTGCCCTGCCCTGCCTAACACAACTCATCGAGACCTTGCTGGGTTGCCTGGTGCTGGAAACACGGTGGCCCTGGCCATCCAGCCAGCGCTGTCCTTCCCAAAACATCCATTGGCCAGTGCGTTTGTTCTGTCACCCCTCAGTGTCCTAATGCCCTTCATTGTACGTGATCTTAAAAAGACCCTTGCCGAAATGTTTTCTCCGAGTCTGGACCACGGCCTAGATTCAATATTTGGCATCTGCAAATGTACATTTACAAAGTGATTCATCAACTAGAAACTGTCCTCTTTTGAGGTACAGGAAGATAAGGCAAAGGTTTACTCAAATCACCCAGCCAGTGGGTGGCAGGATCAAACTGCCTCGCTCCTCACAGCTTCAGAGGCCTCGACAGTTCCCAGCCTCACTGCAGACCCACGCCCACTTCTCATCAAGCTCCCGAAATGTCGGAGCTGCCTTCACTGCGCACGGCAGGGGAGCCCAGCACAGCAGGAAAGCCCCGATTTCTTTGATCAATTCCGTCAGTGCTCTGAAGCCACATTATGCAGCATTTTGTTAGCATACTAAACACCTTCAGGGTGTCAAGCCTTGTCTTTGCAGTGCGTTCCTTAGAGAAGTGGAAGTTTCCTGCCCTTGAGGTTTCCTCTTACTCCTCCTGCTCACTTACGGAGGGTGGCGGGGGGAACAAAAATAGAAAACCAAATTCCATATTCTCTTTCCTTCCCCCACCCCCCCCAAAAAACACAGACACCCCACTACCTCTTCATTTGTCTCCCCAGACAACTCTGTACTTGGAACCTGCATTACTTGTGCTTGCTCCTGGGAAATTCGCTGCAATGTGCACAGAGGGGCTGTAGCCTGTCTTCATTCCTCTTCATCATCTTACCAGGCTATTTGTCATGTGAGCAAGCTGGAAAGTGAGTTTGGATTCATTACCCATCCCAGGCATTCCCACAGGCACCCTCCATGTGCGCTGAATGCTTCTGACTTTGCAAATGATATTGCCCTTGAAGATGCAGGAGGCGTGGAGCAGGTTTCCAACCTCAGCCATTACACAGCACAGGCACATTACATGGCACAGGCTTGCCGGCCAGTCCAGGCGCCATAAATCAGTTCTCAACGGTGGCACCATTCAGAAAAGCATGCAGGGAAGGCAGGGAGACCACCAAGGGCTCCAACCCCTCGTCAGTTCTGCACTGACAGGCTGCACAAATTACTCTCTAATTTTTGAGAGCCTCCACCTCCAGGGAACCCTGCCCTCATTCGATCATTTTGACAGTGCATTTGCAAATTTTCTTTATTCGGTACATTCATTTGCTGTTCCTTACTGCTCTTGGGCACCAAGGTGCTAGGAATCTTCCCATTTAATGGATAAGAAAAAATAGGCAGAAGCGTTGAAATGACTTCTCAGGCCAAAACCCAGTGTTGCACATCCCACAGGAGTTGGCCCCCAGAAGAACCGCCACAAGGATCTGTCAGGGTGAACTGAGCTTCGGCTAACGGGTGTTATGTCCCAGCTCATCTGAAGGACCACAGCTTTTCGAGACTCAGATTCTCACCATGACCCAATTATCTCAAAATAGAATTTCTGGTTCTCTTAGATGTTGCTTTGTAGAGGGCACAGGCCCTTAGAAAGCACACACCTGTCATGCAGGCGTCCTTCAAGCCCTGAAGCATTTACCTTCATTGATGACTGCTGCTCCATATGGAGAAAGAATTCCTTTAATGGGTCATATGACCTGTTTGCTTATTTGCCAACACAGTGTTTCTAAACACTCTGTTTCTAAACAACAGCTAGTTGCTAATGTCTTGGCTGCCCTTTAACAAGAGTTCATGGAAAGTCCTTCTGTGGCCCTCTCATGTCATGCCTGTCTGAGATGCTTCTCCCAGTCATCTTGAAAAATGGTGCTACATAACCATCCTGTCGTGGAAATGATGCCCGGCACCTCCCTCTCACGGGTTTGGTCTATGGTTCAGACCCAGACCTAATCCTTGTTTGTTGAGATCAGTCACTGAGACACTTTGGGTCTCAGCAGCTGTGCTGAGCTCGCCTCCTCCTCTCTCTGGTAGAGCCTGAGGCAATCTGTGATCCAAGCTGCAGGCCACGAGCAAACACCGCAGGCAACATCCACTTCCAGAAGGCTGTGTTCCACAAAAGCGATGAGGACACCCATCCTCAGGGGCTATAATGGGAACTCTTTTCCTCCTAAGGCCCTAGTGAGGAGTCAGGAACCAAGGTCATCTTTAAGCTTGTAGCATCGGGACACACCAGTTCATTCAAAGCAGCAGGCAGCACTAGAAGCTCAAGTTCAAATCAGTGACTTGAAAGGAAATGACACTTCATAAGTAGAGGCAGCTTTTTCAAAATGCAAGCACCTTCTCATCCAAGAGAGGGTGGGGTTCTGGCACCTGTGGGTCACACTTGTGGCAGCAGGCCCAGCATTGGCAGGAACTTCAGGACGAGCCTCTGAAGGATGTGGACATTCCCCTCCTTGCCTGGAGAAGTGCTTCCTCCTAGAGCCCATGGAGATTTGGGATTAGCCTCTCCTTTCTCAGAACTGGAAACCCAGTACTCAAGGTCTGGGAAGCTGGGGAAAGGGGCTCAAGATTGCTGTTAGCTAGAGCGGGGTTCCAAACCCCCAGGCCACAGATTGGTACAGGTCCCTGGCTTGTTGGGAACCAGCCTGCACAGCAGGAGGTGAGCAGTGGGGGAGCATGACCACCTGAGGGCTGTTGGCTGTCTGATCAGTGGTGGCACTGGATTCTCATAGGAACCTCATGCTATTGTGAACTGTGTGTGCGAGGGATCTAGCCTGTGCGCTCCTTATGAGAATCTAATGCCTGATGATCTGAGGTGGAGCAGTCTCATCCCCAAACCATTCCCTACTCCCATTGGGTCCATGGAGAAATTGTCTTCCACGAAACCTGTCCCTGGTGCCAAAAAGGTAAAAGGGTTTGGGACTGCGGAGCCATGGCATTGAATTCCCATCTCACACAGGAGAGGAAAGGCTCTTCCTCAGGACTTGGATGTATATTACTTAGACGTACCATGAAATTAAGTAGATATTTGCCAGGAAAAATGCAAAGGAGTATCAGTTCTCCAGATTTGTTTAAGATAGCATGAAACGGAGAGGTTCATGTAAGAATCTGTGTGTGTGTGTGTGTGTGTGTGTGTGTGTGTGTGTGTGTGTGAGAGAGACATATGCATATTTAACCTCCTTTAAATGTACATTAATGCTGTATTTTCTCCCCCTGATTTACAGGGAGAATATCAATTTAGAACTATTTGCACAAACTCTAGATACCAGTTTAGAGCGTTCCCTATTTAGAAATAAAATAACCAAAGTCTCAGGTTGCCAGGCAACTGCAGCAATGATAATTCTTAGTATTGCTGCTTTAGAAATACTCATTTTTATACATTTTAGTGATGGTTAGGATGCAGAGAATGTGAGTTCAGAATGTCGCTGGGACATCGAAGTCCCTTTTCTATGAGATTTTTAGCATTCTCACTTGCTTTTATTTTTCCCCCTTAGCTCTGTTTGCTTCCTTGGCTAGCGGTATCTTCATATTTAGCTATAGAAATCTCGAGAGATTGTTATTATTTTCTTAAGAGTTGAGGCAGAAGCTGCCACTACATTAATTCTGCCAGGCTCATTATAGAACCACGCCAGTCACTCAGGGAGAAATGACACCGTCTGGGGATCGGCCGGGGTCACAAACACTGGGTTCAAGCTTTGGTTGTTCTGCCGCTAGTTTGACACATGAACTCTACACCTCGTCCTTTTCATTCTTAAGAGGACCACATTCTGGCCCCTCTCAGAGCTTCACTGAATTGGGAACAGAATATCAGGCCCCAGCTCTGTCATCATCTCTTGGCGGCAAAGCCACGGCTCATGTTTTTGTCTGTCCACTGCAGCAGCCGTTGTGGCGTAATGGCACATGATGGTCTCGGGGCTGGGTAGAAATTGGAAGGCGTCTTCCTTTCCCTTTTGGCCTTTCAAGTGTATCTTCCTTTATGTCTAATGTCTGGGGTTACTATTAAAGTCTTTCTGAATTCTGAACCAATGATCAGATAGATACAAGAGAATGATTGGGAATGAAAAGCCTGCTAATCCTAGCAGAGTAGGAAAGGGTAGACAGCCCCTTCCCCAACCCCACGGCCTCAGTGGAGGAGAGAATGGTGTGGCCTGCAGGGGAGGGACAGGCAGACAGCGCCAGCTGTCACCCAGGCTCACGTTCACCAGCCTCAGCAGTCAGACCTTCTTCCTTCCTCCCTTGGAGGAAGTGAATAGAAGGGCAGAACCGAGAGCGGGAACTCTATCTTGATCTTGCTAAAGGGGTAGAAGTTCCTAATTCGTGGACTTGCTGGACCACAGGGAGGAGGAGAAAATGATTTCTAGTACTTATTTCCTGGCATTTCAGCTACATGGAAGGTAGTTAGCACGGTGCATAAATGAGCCCCCGGTGAGAGTATTTCCCATCGTGAGCACCACAGCCGGGCGTTGTTCTCACTGTGCCTCACAAGCTCTGCTAAATGCCTTATGGATATTTCATTCTGACAACCTGTGACATAGGTACTGTAATCATACTAGTATCACAGATGGGGAAACTGAGACACAGAAAGGTTGAGTATCTTGTCCAAGTTCACACAGCTAATAGGCAACAGGGCCTCACTGCCTCCCAGTTTATCACCCCCCACCGAGTACAGTTTCTGGAATATTGTGCTCGGTCAACATTTGTTGCAATAACAAGTGGGGTACAACAGAGGATCAAACATACCAGCAAAGCTTGCATATGTGTAGTTGATTATAAGTAAAAGCACAGTCTGGGCACAGTGGTTCACACCTATAATCTCAGCACTTTGGAAGGCCTAGGCAGGAGGATCACTTGAGCCCAGGAGTTTGAGACCAGTCTGAACAACATAAGGAGACCTCGTCTCCACAAAAAAAAATTAAAACACTAGCTGGGCATGGTGGCTCATACCTGTAGTCCAAGCTACTTGGGAGGCTGAGGTGGAAGGATCGCTTGAACCCAGGAGGTTGAGGCTGCAGTAAGCTATGATCGTATCACTGCACTCCAGCCTGGACAACAGAGCAAGACCCTGCCTCTAAGTGAGTGAATGAATGAAGGCACAGACCCGAGGGGCAGGGCTGATGGTAGCCAATTCATACATTCAGGTCGGTCTCCTGGTCTCACCTGTTTCTGTGATTGCTAAGCCAGGCTGATGGCTAGATACCCATGGCAATGAAGAATGTAAAATACGAAAGGTAAAAAAGGGAAATAAATCTTCCTTTCAGGACCCAAGCTACTTATCAGGGCTAAACAAAAAATACCAAGTAAGAATGTAATGATGAGGGGTGGGGAGGGGGCAAAAAATAAAATTAAAAAGAATGTAACAAGCAACGAGACGCTCCTGACTTTGAACCTGTGTGCAGGGCTCCGGGTAGATTAGAAGGCATCCTAACCTCAGTAAATGGCTGTCAGTGGGGCCTGACAGTCTGGGTCCCGTGTTCTGGGCACCACCAATGGAGGGTATCCTCTCAGAAAGCTTCACCCTATTTCATGAGCCTTTAATAAAATATAGCTATAATCTTTCTCGTGAAAGAGCCTGACAGTTCATGGAGCCACTTCCCACGCCGCACTGATGGGAGAAACTGCAGGACTCCACCAGGCTTTCTCTGGCTCCAGGACCCCCACGAAGGCCTCCTGATTTATCTGGGGCAGCTCCTGCATAAGAAGGGTGACCGTTTCCCACAGTGGAGAACCAGACACTGGGCACAGCCCACTTGATAAGACAGCTTCCATCTCCCGCCCCTCCTGGGTATGCAAAGGCATTCCTGAGTGAATAGGTTCAGGTCAGAGCAGGAGAGGTTATCACCCAGGCTGTGCCTTGAAGCTTTGCTGAGTACAAGAAAGGTAAGGAAGAGATAAGCAAGAGGTGAGAATGACGGCAGGGCTGGCAAGTGAGATCACGAGCTTTTCCTCAAACATCTGGCTAAGAATAGAAGCTTTGGGAAATTCCACAACTGGCAGATTAAGGTGATCAGCCTCTCAGCTGGAATTTGTGAAGTTTCTTCAGACTGAGCTCCCAGAGAAGTATGTGTGGTGGAATCGCTGTGCTTTCTAAAGAGATGGATTGCAACCTGCGCCGTTGAGCTAGTGCTGAGCTGAGGCCCGGTGAGATGGATTCTAGCACCCCTGCCACGGCTAACCTCACACACTCAGACGCTCTCCCTGAGCTTTTCATTTCTCCATCAGCAAAA
Organism: Homo sapiens; assembly: GCF_000001405.40. Classification (NCBI taxonomy): domain Eukaryota; kingdom Metazoa; phylum Chordata; class Mammalia; order Primates; family Hominidae; genus Homo; species Homo sapiens. Next base: position 245,655,218 of record NC_000001.11, read on the forward strand.
TCTCAATCATTCTTACTCCTCGTCCACCTCAGAAACATATTGTAGGTTCCATGGAGACGATGTCTGTGGTAGACAAAGAGACGTGCTTCAAAGGCAGAAAGGTCACTGTTTTATCATCTTTCAGAATCGTGTAACCCACGTGGTTCTGCCACCATCCTGTCTTCTGTGCATTCCTTGACTTTGAAAGTACGCATCTTTTCTTTTGACCAAGTAGATAATTACCGTCTATCGAAATGAACCCTCATGCATTTATTCAATGAGAGTTTGTGTGCCTAACACACAGCATGGCTGCCTGATACAGATACTTGGTTTAAGAGAATTCTACAGGCTCTGCACGAAAGTGAAGTCATGATGTAAGGAGGCAAAGGACTCTGCCCTCAAACAGTCCAATGGGCCTGAGAATGAGCCTGGGGTGGGGGTTCGATGCTGCTGCACCCCCAGTTGTATCTGTGTATCCCAGTGACTGGGGCGTGATTTGAATATTTAAAGATACTCCTTTTTCATACGGCCTTTAAATGCAAGCCGAGTACTTCTGCTGCACAGCCGGAGAGGTGGTATGTTTTTAATGCTGGAGTAAAACTTGTCTGTGTTGGACTTAGTGAGAGAATGGTTTTCGTTCAGAGATTGTCAAGGCCAACTTTGATATAAATTTCACTTTACATTTTACACCACACGTGATTCATAACATTTAACTCTGTCATCCATAGAACTCGGTGCTGTTCTGATCAGCAAGGTAGATTCTGGCCCAAAAGAACTGGTGGAGGAATTTAAGGAACTGGTTCTAAGCCTAATTGAGGTCACCAAACATACAGAGAAAATAATCTGAGAAATGTATAGCAGAAATCTAAGTTTTCCATTTATTCATTTACTCAAAAATACCCTACAATAAATACCAGGAATATAACAGATGATCTGCATTCTTGGGCAACTTACAGTGTAGCAGGAATACAGACACTGAGCACCGAGTAACTGATAATATACGCACATCAGCGCTGAATCGGCACTAAGGGAAGAAGGGGTCGGGTGGGGCTGAGGAATGGCACAGAGCGGTGATTCTCAAGCTCTCTCCTCCTCGAGTCCCACTCATTCTCTACTCACGCTCATCTGTGTCTTCCAAAGTTTGCCACAGTCCGTCCTCTAAATGCCTGAGTCATTCACACCTGTTCTGTCATTCCCTGCTTTGATATAGAGATGATCCAACACAAATCATGACAAACCACTAAGCCAAATGCAAGACTCTGAATCCACAGCTGAGTGTGATCTTTAATGACGACTAACCATCATATCACAAGTTGTGTCATAACCAGAAACAAAACAGCCAGAGAAGGAGGGCTTTAGGTTGGTCTGGGGACAGTACGGAGAGCCCAAGACGCCCTTGGGCACCCACAGGGGGCTGTGATTATTCAAGGATGGCTTGATTTAGGCACAATTAGGCATTGGACAGGATGGAGCATACAAATGTGTTGGGGATTAATTCATTAAAAATCTGTCTTGAGCTTTAATAGAGCTTCAGTCAGAGTGTCCAACCATAAATTCTCACCTGTTTCACAACTGGTTCAGGCCCAATTGAGCATTAACAGATTTTTTTTTTTGTTCATGCAAATGAGGTTTTGTGTGTAATTCATTCATTCATTTCATTTATTTCATGTCTAATTGAACAATTTTTGAATAGTTACATTTGTGGAGTAGTTAAGTTGTATCAAATTGTCTAATGTACCTAGTAATTTTGTAACTAAAACAGAGCTGAATTTCATTTTGATATAACAAAAGGAGAACCACAGAAGTAGAGGTGGTTTGAGGAATAGTCGGCTTTTAAGAGACTTTATGATACTCTGTTCTTTAGGGCAATGACCACAGTTGCTGTTTCTTTTTATCCTCACTTTTCTTTCTTTTCACTCCCTACCGATGAGATCAATGAAAATTTGGGGGGCATTTCTAGATTTGGCAGCCTCCCATTTATAAGCATACATTTTTTTAGTTTTGTGCCCTGACATGCCCATTTTTCTGAGGGTCAAATGTGTCTGTCTTTAAAACACCGCGTTGGTGTCTTTCAAACCACTTATCAAGGGTTGTTTCTCCCACGAGACCTTGTCACCCCTGAGCCTGAAATCGCGCGCTGAGAACTAATTGCAGTAGCTGCATACACACAGTGAACAAAGTTCACTGCTCCCTTCATTAAGGGCACCTGCCATATCCACTGTTTCCTTCCGAGAACTCTTTTGGTGAAGACGGGATTTTTGTTTTCTTTACATTCCACATAGCTGCCAGAAGGCCCCTTTAAAATGCAAATCTGATGTCTCTCAGTCTTTAAAACCTTCAGTGGCTTCCTGTTGGCTACAGGATAGTTGAAACCCTTTTGTGGCCTATGGAGCTCTTCCGAATTTGGGCCACACCTACCTTTCTGACCATAGAAACTACATAGAGATGACTGAACACCCCACCCCACCCCCACAGTCACATGCTTTGCCGATGCCGATTCTTCTGCTTCCAGCGGCTGTTCATTCACTCACTCATTCATTCATTCAATCAATAGTTACCAAGAACATACCCTACTCCAGTACTGTACTGGAGCTCCTCCTCCATTTGTGAGATTCTTCTTATGTCTTTGACATGTTTTGATTGTAAGATGTGTTGCATATGCAGATGTAGAAACACACCTACTCAGTCTATAGAATGACAAAAAATCTGTGTGCCCACCACCCAGGTTAGGAAATAGAACATTCCACTAGCTCAGGTGCCCTTGTGTGATCGTCTGCCTTCCGTCACCCTCCTGCCTGTTCCAGCGGTGACCACAGTGCTGAATTTTCTGGTTTTGATCCCCTTGCTTGTCTTATAGGTTTTACCACCTAAGTATGTGTCCCCCCAAAACATACTGTTTAGTTTTGTCTGCTGTTGAACGTTACGTAAATGAAATCATACTCTATTCTATGCCCTTCCGTACCTTCTTTTGATCAGTATTTCATTTTTGAGATCCATCTTGATGCGCACAGCTACAGGTTCTTAATCTTCATTGCTGTACGATTTTTCCATTGTAGATGGATATTGCAAAATATTCTTCTGTGGGTGGATTTCTAACAAGTTTTTAAAAACTGATTGTTGAAGTTAATCGAACCTATTTCTGCTCTAATGAGATGCTCACTTGGTTCCTCCATTAATCATTTAATATGGTCAATTACATTGTGAGTTTTCTTTTCTTTTTGAGACAGGGTGTCACTCCGTCACCCAGACTGGAACGCAGTGACACCAACAAGGCTCGCTGCACTCCCAGGCTCAAGTGATCCTCCCACCTCAGCCTCCCATGTAGCTGGGACTACAGGTGTGCACCACCATGCCTGGCTAATAGTTTATATTTTTTGTAGAGACGGGGTTTTACCATGTTGCCCAGGCTGGCTTTGAAATCCTGAGCTCAAGCAATCCTCCTGCCTTGGCCTCCCAAAGTGCTGGGATTACAGGTGGGAGCCACTGTACCCAGCCAATCAGTTTTCCATTAATAATACTAAAAATTCTTGGATTCCTTCCTACTTATTCTTTGAGGCTTATCTCAAATATCATCTCCCCTCTCAAGCCTTCTCTGATCTCCTTTCCCCCCTCCTAATTCTTTGCTCCAGGAAAGTTGTTTCCATCTTCCAACTCAATGGCATTAAAATGGTATTTTAATGTAGGCACTTATATTTTAAATATTTGTTTACATATACCTCTCCTATCATATGAGCTCATCTAGATAATGATAGAGGGCACATGCAGTGGCTCACACTTGTAATCCCAGCACTTCAGGAAGCCAAGGCAGGAGGATCACTTGGGCCCAAGTTCAAGACCAGCCTGGGCAACATAGTGAGACTCCATCTGTACAAAAAAAAAATTTAAAAGTATAGTAGCCATGCATAGTGGCGTGTGCCTGTAGTCCCAGCTACTCGGCAGGCTGAGGTGGGAGGATTGCGTGAGCCTGGGAGGTTGAGGCTGCAGTCAGCTATGATCATGCCACTACACCCCAGCCTGGGCAACAGAGCAAGACCCTGTCTCAAAAAAATAATAATGATGGAATCTTGTTCTTCAGCTTCCTTACGATTTTGCACTAATCTGAATGAAACCAGCCTGATCTAAACCTTGCATCTTTAGTGACAGATATGAGTCTGACACCCACCTTCAACTTTGTGGTAGCCTGCCCAGCTTCCCAGAGGACACCTTTGTGCCCGCAGGCTTCCTGTGGCCATCGGATCCCCAATCTAAACTAGGATAAAGTATATGTTTTGTGGTATTGTCACCTGTTTAGGATGAGAAGAGGCACTGAAGCTATAACCCTATTTTCTGAGCCAGATAAAATAGCAAACATATATTTGCTCTACCGGGTTATTTTGACAAATTTATCAAGCATCTTCAAAATATACAGTACTAGTCTAAGCATTAGGGCTAATGCAGAGAGCTTTTGCACCAGTAGGACAGAGGAAAAAATGTGCACAAATTAGAGTACAAGGCATAAAGCAGTTAAAAGTCACATTATCAAGTACATTCAAGGAAAGAGGTAAGCAGTTCCAGCAAGTAGGCCGGGCGCGGTGGCTCACACCTGTAATCCCAGCACTTTGAGAGCCCAAGGAGGGCGGATCATTTGAGGTGAGGAGTTTAAGACCAGACTGACCAACATGGCAAAACCCAATATCTACTAAAAATACAAGAAAAAAAAAAAAAAGCCAGGCGTGGTGGAACATGCCTGTAATCTCAGCTACTCAGGAGCCTGAGGCAGGCGAATCGCTTGAACCCCGGGAGGTGGAGGTTGCAGTGAGCCGAGATCACGCCATTGCACTCCAGCCTGGGCAACAGGGCGAGACTCCATCTCAGAAAAAAAAAGTTCCAGCAAGTCAGCTGTGAATATTTTTTCTATGGCAATAATAATAAACACAAGATGCAGGTATAGATTCCTATTTATGACTACAACTCTCCACATGTCTAGAATTTGGTGGAAGCAAATAGGTCTTAGAATTTACCCCAAAGCTTGAATTACTGAAACTGCCTGTTAGTAATAGTCATTTATCACATGGATTTGGCGCTGGTGTCGTGAGGATCTAAGTACAGGGAAGTTCTGGGCATGTTCATTTGCCATTTATTAATTTCTGTTCTTTGCTATTTTTTGGGGGGGCGGGTAGGGGAGACAAAGGTCTTGTCACCCAGGCTAGAATGCAGTGATGTGGTCATAGCTCACTGCAGCCTTGATCTCCCGGGCTCAACAGCGATCCTCCCACCTCAGCATCCTGAGTAGCTGGGACTACAGGTGTGCACCACCATGCCTGGTTAATTTTTAAAAATTTTTTTCTAGAGCCAGGGTCTCACTGTGTTGCCCAGGCTGGTCTTGAATTCCTGAGCTCAAGTGATCCTCCCATCTTGGCCTCCCAAAGTGCTGGGATTACAGGCATGAGCCACCGCACCCAGCCCTACTTTGCCATTCTTTATTTCTCATCTTAAGGTGGCTACTTAGCTTGGCAGTTTCCCCTTCTTGTTCTGTAAGCACCTACGTTGCTCTCTAAGTACTGCTTTGTCTGTATCCTCAAGTTCTGGTAATGACAGGTATTTTCACTATCATTCACTCAAAATATTTTCCATTTCTCATTGTAATTATCATTTTTTGAGACGGGGTCTCATTCTGTCACTGAAGCTGGAGTGTAGTGGTGCGATCTTGGCTCACTGCAGCCTTGACCTGCTGGGCTCAAGCAATCCACCTGCCTCAACCTCCTGTAGCTGGGACTACAGGCGTGTGCCACCATCCCTGGCTTTTCTTTTTTCTTTTTTTTTTTTTTGGAGACAGAGTCTCACTCTGTTGTCCGGGCTGGAGTGCAGTGGCATGATCTTGGCTCACTGCAACCTCTGTCTTCTGGGTTCAAGTGATTCTCCTGCCTCAGCCCCCCGAGTAGCCGGGATTATTTGCGCCTGCCACCATGCCCAGCTAATTTTTGTATTTTTAGTAGAGATGGGGTTTTGCATGTTGCCAGGCTGGTCTCAAACTCCTGGCCTCCAGTGATCCACTCCCTGCCTCAGCCTCCCAAAGTGCTGGAATTACAGGTGTGAGCCACTGCGCCTGGCCCATTTTAATTATTTTGTGATCCGTGGGTTATTTAGAAATGTATTTACTAATCGCCACAGTTACTTGGAATTTGTTCCTTTTGAGCCTTTTAAGCCTTGCAAAGGCAGGTGCAGCACAGCCTAGGGCTGCTTTGATCCCACTGTTAGCGCAGTAACCTTCTGAGGACGCTGAGGAATGATTTACATACACTCACATATATATGTACACCCATTATATACACCATATATATTATATACAATATACACACATACCCAATATGTATATACACCCAATGTTATATATATATATACACACCCCCAATATATATATACACCCAATGATATATATATACACACACACCCAATATATATATACACCCAATGTTATATATAGACACACACACTCAATATATATATATACACCCAATGTTATACATATATACACACACACCACCAATATATATACACCCAGTGTTATATATACACACACCCTATATGTATACACCCAATGATATATATACACATACACACACACAATATATATACACCCAATGATATATATATTACACACACCATATATATATATACACCCTATGATATACATACACACATACCCCCATATATATACACCCAATGATATACATACACACACTCAATATATATATACACCCAATGATGTATACATACACACACCCCATATATATATATACTCAATGACATAAATAATATGCACACCCAATATATATACACCCAATGATATATATATTACACACACCCTATGATATACATACACACATACCCCCATATATATACACCCAATGATATACATACACACACTCAATATATATATATACCCAATGATATATACATACACACACCCCATATATATATACCCAATGACATAATACACACACCCAATATATATATACCCAATGATATATATAATATACACACACTATATAGATACACCCAATGATATATCTATACACACACACACCCAATATATATACACCCAATGATATATATACTCACACACACCCTATATATATTTACACACCTAATGATATATACACACACACCCTATATATATATACACCCAGTGATATATACACACACACCATATATATATACACACACATACACCCAGTGATATATACATACACATACCCGATATATATATATATATATATACACCCCATGATACATATATACACACACCCAATATATATATATGTACACCCAATGATATATATACACACACCCCCAATATATATACACACCCAATGATATATATATACACACACCCTATATATATATACACCCAATGATATATACACAGACACCCAATATATATACACACCCAGTGATATATACACACACACACATCCAATACATACATATACCCAATGATACATATATATACAATATATATATAAACCCAATGATACATATACACACACACCCAATATGCATATATACCCAATGATATATATACACACACACACACACATGCATGCCCTGGGTATAAACAGATCTCCTCACTCTGTCTGCTTGAACACAGACTTCCAATCCCTTCTTGGCTTCAAGGATTATTCCAACTCTCCTTTCTGTGGCCTTGCTTGTTTTTTTGTACACATGTGGATTAGAGCTCAACCAGAGGGCTCCAGAGAGCTCTTGCTTGCTCTCAGGTCACCTCTGTCTTTTTTTTTTTTTCTCTCTTATTCTCTTTCCCCTCTTCTATCTCTCCAATTCTTGCTTTGTATCTCTCTCCATTCTTCCCTTCTGCTATTTTGTCCTACAAATTTTAGCTGCCCTGATCTCCCCAAAGTCTGGACTTTTCCTTGTTCAGAAGGATGTGGCTGCCTGGCTCTGCTTGGGTCCCCTGTCGTGTTTGGGGGCCTGGAACCTCTCTCCTGGCAGTAAGCTGGGGCACTTACAAGGCTCAGCTCATCTTTTCCCCTTCTCTCAGACATGACTTTCCTCTGCTGCTTGTTACCCAGTATCAGAAACCCATTTTTTTTTTCTTATAGTTTGTTTGGTTTTCTAGTTGCTTAAGGTTGGAGGGTAAATCCAGTTTCTATTTTTCAAACATGGCCAGAAGCAGAAATTTTGTCATTTGTGATCATTTTTTTTTGTTTATTTCTTTAAACAGTTTAATTGTCTCTAACATGTTAATCAACTTTTTGTTGTTTATTTGTGATCTAGGTTTGAACATCTCATTCTTGCATCTGTGGTTTCTGCTGGCTCTTTCTCATGGTGCCGTGTTTCTTTGTTTATTTGTGTCTGGGGGCTACTCATTTTCACTGGCATTTTATTTGTGAGAATTCTGCAAGCTCTGGGATAAAGATAGTTTACTCCAGACAGCATTTGTGTTTACTTCTACCAGGTGCCAGTTGAGGATAGTCTAAACTACATTCTCAGCTTGAAATATTTTTGACCACCCAGATATGGAGAACTAAGCGTGCAAACCTGCATGTAATTCAGACCAGGGTTCGCAATTCTCAGGACAGTTTCTTTCCCCTCTGCTCAGTGCTTATTTCAAGACAGTCATGTCTTGAATACCTACAAGGGACAATTATTGGGGGTTGATTTTCCTGTGAAAATTCACATGTGGAGCAGGCCTCCAGCTTTGACTGCTGCCACATAAAACTCAGCAGGGTGTTACCTGGCTGGGCAGATGTCTTTGGGGTGAAAGAAAGCTTGCCTGTTCTGCTTATTTATCTTGAGTTCCCAACTTCACTTGCTTTTTTTTGGCCTGAGGATTCTTTACCTTTTTGCAGGTTCAACAATGCATTTACTAAGACTTAAAAATAATATCCACGGCCGGGCATGGTGGCTCACGCCTGTAATCCCAGCATTTTAGGAGGCCGAGGCAGGCAGATCACCTGAGGTCGGGAGTTCAAGACCAGCCTGACCAACATGGAGAAACCCTGTCTCGAGTAAAAATACAACATTAGCCGGGCATGGTGGCGGGCGCCTGTAATCCCAGCAACTGAGGCAGGAGAATCGCTTGAACCCGGGAGGTGGAGGTTGCAGTGAGCCGAGATCACGCCATTGCACTCCAGCCTTGGCAACAAGAGTGAAACTCCATCTCAAAAAAAAAAAAAATCCACAACATTTAACTGTACTTGGTAAGAAGGTTTTCCTAGGAACCCAGCCTATCATATTGCTCCTTTGCTTTTTTTTTTCTCCTGTTACACACCTCTCCTTCTTTTAAATAAGTAAGGAGATCATATAACTTATTATCGAAGCCACTTTTGAGAGTGAAAAGGGACACTTAATTATTATTATTTCATGTTTTGAAATATTTTCTGACACAGCCGTCTATATTGGTGAACCTATAAAACAGTTCTATTCAAAAATTACTTTCAAACATGAAATGCTTTCTTAATAAAAGAAAATACATCAAAGTAGAAAAAGGTTAAAACTGCTTTATATTGTTTATCTGGACATTAAAAAATAAGCAGAATAATCACTTAATATACTTTTGTGTATTTTAATCATTGTCTTCACTATCTTCTAATACCACTTCAGTAGTATTTTTCTTAACACTATTTTTTCTATTGTTAATGTCAGGGCGTTTTTCTCCTTCACATAATCCAACTGCCTTACCTATATATTTACATATATGTTTATGTGCATTAACACATCAAACCATCTGTTTTTGATAACTGTGGCTTCTGTTTCTCTTGATAGAATATCACAGTTTGTTTAAAAATAAGTGTGAATTTATTCATACAACCACCAATTACAAGTTTATTTCAGTGAAATACATTTCTCAATTCAGTGAGAATATTGTGTGTTAAAGTTTCAAAGGATCTTCCCACAAGTCAATTTCCAGAGCATACTTGTAGAATTTCACATTTTAATCTTCTATACAGTTTGAGCTCTTGTCATCTATATTTCAGGGTCCCCTGTTTGCAAATTTTGTTTTTAATCATTGCAATTCATTACAGGCTTCAGAGGCTGAGCTTTTTGTGTTTCATTGGTTGAACACTTGATTATGGATTACAACTTATTTTGAACCACAAGCCATCAAAATTTAGATGACTTGTTTCCAAAACTGGAGTACTTTTTTTGTAGAGCATTTGGATTGACTCATGAAGTATGTTTTAAAGTTAAAAGCTGCCTAATGTCAGCAATTTCCTATCATTTCATTATTTCAAGTGTCAAATATTTCTCAAATCCAACTTGACAGGCAGCAAAGAGAGAACCGCACACTCTACTGATGAAATGTTTTTAATCCAATTTAAACTTCATAAAAAATTTTTGTAGTTCAGTTACTCTCAGTTTATGTAAATTTTACACATTTCAAAAACTATAGCTTGTGCTTCTCTGGGTAGAATTAGAACTGTGTTTGAGCTCAGTTATGAATTACATAGGTACATCAATTACAGGTACATTTCAGCATAATAAGTTTCTCAGCTTGGAACATTATATCTTTTTTTTATTTTTTATTTTTTTTGAGACTGAGTCTTTCTCCATCACCCAGGACTGCAACCTCCGCTTCCCGAGTTCAAGTGATCCTCCTGCCTCAGCCTCCCAAGTAGCTGGGACTACAGGCACGCACCACCATGCCCAGCTAATTTTTGTATTTTTGGTAGAGCTGGGGTTTCACCATGTTGCCCAGGCTGGTCTCAAACTCCTGACCTCCAGTGATCCACCCGCGGTCAGCCTCCCAAAGTCCTGGCATTACAGGCATGAGCCACTGCTCCTGGCTGGAACATTATGTCCTTTTTTTTTTTTTTTTTTTTGAGACGGAGTCTCTCTCTGTCGCCCAGGCTGGAGTGCAGTGGTGCAATCTCAGCTCACTGCACCTCTGCCTCCTGGGTTTAAGCAATTCTCCTCCCTCAGCCTCCCAAGTGGCTGGGATTACAGGCAGGTGCCACCACACTTGGCTAATTTTTTTTGTTTTTAGTATAGATGGGGTTTCACCATATTGGCCAGGCTGGTCTTGAACTCCTGACATTATGTCTTAAAGTGCTAACTCTGTTCACTGCACATAACCTCATATGTTCCTAGATGAGACCACTGAAATAGAAAGTGAAAGTCTATCCAATTCTTCCATCTCATTTTAATAAGTCTTAGTAATAACTACTTGTATTTTGAATAAAGAAATGAAAAATCCAGGACAAAATAAACCAGACAGGATGCAGGGTGATAGGCATACACTGAGACTTCTAGGCAAGTGAGCAACTGGTCAGCCGAATTAAAGCCCTTGGAGGGGTTCCTGTACCCTAGGTTCTTAATACATGCTTGTTGAATGAACAATCGGAGGTAGCTTATTTGTTTGAATAAGGCTTTCTGTGTGTTACTGCAAAGGAATGAGGATGGGACAGGTTTAGGCTTTGTAACAAGACCTCCCAAAGGCTAACACATAGGCGGCTGCTTCCTCGGCAAGCAGAGATGACGCTTGTGGCCCTTTTTGAAACACCTTTTTTACATGCCAGAGGTATTTAACTTGTCCGTACCAAATGGTACGGACAAGTTAAAAGGGTTATCCGCCCTTTTAACTCAAATATCCCGTTGGGATCAAACATTTTTGCTCTGGAGACCTTTGTACCTGTGCAGCATCAGTATAAGGATAGCCTGGGGGTGGTAACCCAGACACAGCTAACAGCGGGGTCTGAGTGGCTTGGCCAGAGTCTTGGCCTCAAATTGAGGGCACAGCAGTGGTTCTGACTGTTCCTCTTCGGGGAACGTTGTACATCAGGAGGGGCCTGATGGTAATGTTGGTGTAAAATGTCTCTGCTGTGATCCACCCTTGAAGACTGTGAGCTGTGCAGAACGAAGCAGGTCATGGCTTGTCCTCTAGGATGTGATGGGAGGCTGAAAGCATCTCTCTGCTGTGACGTAGGAGGGACCGTGAGCCTTATGCTAGGCACTCCTTCCAGCCCAAGGCAGCATCGTCTACTTTGGTTTTCTTTCTTTCTTTTTTTGAAACACTCTGCCCAGGCTGGAGTGCAGTGGCACGATCTCGGCTCACTGCAGCCTTAAGCTCCTGGGCTCAAGCTATCCTCCTGACTCAGCCTCCCAAGTAGCTGGGACAACAGGCGTGTGCCACCATGCCCGGCTACTTTTTTAAATATTTTTAATAGAGATGGGGTTTCGCCATGTGTCCCAGGCTGGTCTCAAACTCCTGGATTCAGACAATCTGCCTGCCTCGGCCTCCCAAAGTGCTGGGATTACAGGCGTGAGCCACCGTGCCTGGCCTGCTTTGGTTTTATTCTGACTGTGGCTCCTAGGAAGAAAAAGAAAAGATGATGCTTTGGAAGCTGTAGGGTTGGGAAGCTGGAGACTTCTTGTGATGGAGAGGTACACCCAGTAGATACTTATTTAAATACTTATAGAAAGACGACTTTATGCCGGACACTGTGTTAGGTCCTGGCTATACAGGAAGAAGAGAAGTGGCATCTGCCCATCCTACGCAGTTCTCCAGGAAGGAGGTGGCAGGAGTGACATTTGGGCCATCCAGGCAACTCACCAAGTCCCTTCGCAGCACTCCTGAAAAGCTCTGAGATGTTTTGAAGCTAAAACAGACAAACAAAAGGGACCAAAGAGGTGGCATGAGTAGCATGAGTCAGATGTGATTAATTCCTAATTCCTTAGCTGCTTCTGTTTGTTTGTTTTGTTTTGTGTTTTTGAGATGGAGTCTCACTCTGTCACCCAGGCTGGAGTGCAGTGCAGTGGCGCAATCTCAGCTCACTGCAACTTCCACCTCCCAGGTTCAAGCGATTCTCCTGCCTCAGCCTCCCAGGTAACTGGGATTACAGGCACACGCCACCACGCTTGGCTAATTTTTGTATTTTTAGTAGAGACGGGGTTTCACCATGTTGGTCAGGCTGGTCTTAAACTCCTGACCTCAAGTGATCAGCCTGCCTCGGCCTCCCAAAGTGCTGGGTTTACAGATGTGAGCCACCAAGCCCGGCCCCCTATTTCCTTATCTTCTTATCCGCAGCAGGACTTTGAGAAACGGCTCAGTTAGGGTCTTGCAGGGATAACAGTGATTAGAGCCTGAACACAAACTACATTTATCCCATGTCAGAAATGAATAGCTTATCAAACGTACCAACTTAAAAGATGCAAGAATTGTGCAACAATAGCTACCTTCTTTTCAAACAAAATAAACATCACTAAAAAACTCTAATCTTAATTCTTTTTCAAGAAATGGATAATTCCTCCACATCATTCTCCTTTAAAATTTTGTAGATTCTCCCTTAAGTTACTTAATGTATGAGTTGTGGCTTCTGTGTAACGTCTTTTCTCAGGCTTGTATTGGTAATGGAAAGCATTCTTCAGCTTAATTTCCTTTTAATTCCTTCCAATTACTATGCACTGTTCTTTGTGCCAAGTGCCAGTCCAGTTATCCAGTTGGTGCATTTTGTGAGAACTGTAGGATCATGGAGATCATGTTTCTTTTCTTTTCTTTTCTTTTCTTTTTTTGAGACAGCGTCTTGCTCTGTCACCAGGCTGGAGTGCAGTGGCACAATCTTGGCTTACCGCAACCTCTGCTTCCTGGGTTCAAGTGATTCTTCTGCCTCAGCCTCCCAAGTAGCTGGGATTACAGGCACGCACCACCATGCCTGGCTAATTTTTTGTAGTTTTAGTAGAGATGGGGTTTCGCCATGTTGGCCAGGCTGGTCGCGAACTCCCGACCTCAGGTGATCCGCCTGCCTCAGATCACCCAAAGTGCTGGGATTACAGGCATGAGCCACTGTGCCTGGCCAGGATCATGTTTCTTTAAACCACACATGATACCCAGAAGGCATCATAATAGAGTTGGCTTCATCATCTTCCTTATCCTAGGTTATGCTTGATTTCAAAAGAAATTTGTTCCTCGACAATACACAGAAAATGCACTTAACAATAGCCCCTGAAGTTTTCCCCAGCCAATGACTGGTTAGCAGTCTAATAAGGATCATATTGGACAAGTATCTTTAACACAAAACAGCACAGGGAATCATGGGCCACTCTCATCGTTAGGCTCTCTTCACAGGTATAGCCTATGTTAGAAGGCTTCTGAACCACAGATGCTAAAGAAAAATTAGTTAAACTGAAGACTGATGAAGTATTCCCTACAAATGAAAAGGCAATCTTATATGACAAAGGACACTATCAGGAGGTTGAAAAACAACCTATAGAATGGGAGAAAATATTTGTAAATCATATGTCTATGATTAATATCCAGAATATATAAAGAACTCCTGTAAGTCAACAACCATCACCACACCCAGTTCACAAATGGGCAGAGGAATCTTATGGACATTTCTCCAGCGGAGATATATGCACAGCCAAGGAGCACGTGAAAAGATACTCAGCATCATTAGTTGCTAGAGAAATGCAAAGCAAACCCCAAGAAGGTACCACTTCCTAGCCAGCAGGATGTAGCTATTAAAACAACAACAGAAAATCAGTGTTGGCAAGGGTGTGGAGGAATTGCAGTCCGTGTGCGTTGCTGGTGGGAATGTAAAATGGCATAGTCATTGTGGAAAGGAGTGTGGCAGTTCCTCCAAGAGTCGCATATAGAATTGTCACATGGTCCAGCAATTCCATTCCTAGGTTACCCAAAAGAATGGAAAGCAGGGGAGCTGGAGGCCATTATGCTAAGTGAAGTAACTCAGGAAGGGAAAGCCACATTCCTATGTTCTCAGGTATAAGTGGGAGCTAAGCTGAGGGTCCACAAAGGCAGAGTGGAGGAATGGACATTGGAGACTCCGAAGGGGAAAGGAGATGGAGGATTAAAACGCTACATTTTGGGTACAACATATACTACTTCGGTGACAGGTGCACCACAATCTCAGACCTCACCACTATACAGTTCATCCACGTAACCAAAAACCACTTGGACCCCTAAAGCTATTAAATAAAATAAATAAATATAAACATTCAGTAACATTATCTTTAGAAGAACACTTTTTAATAAACCTGGGCATGAAGAAAAAAGGCTGAATAATATTCCATCGTATGCGTGTGTATATCCATATATATATATATATATATATATATATATATATATGCACACACACACACAATGTATATGTCTAGTGTTACCAACTTAGTTTCCTTTCCTTCAATATTAAACGTCTCATATTTCCCCCAGACTTTTTGAGAGATAGTTGAGAAATAAAGCTGTGTAAGTTTAGAGTGTAGTATGTGATGATTTGATATATATTGTGAAATTATTAACACAAGTTAGGTGACACACCTGTCACCTGTCCTAGTTATCATTTTTTTTTGTATTGTAGTGAAATAAATGTCTCATTTAAAAAAAAAAGAATTGAAAGCAGGAAATGAAACAGATACTTGTATACCAATGCTCATAGTAGCATTAAGCATAATAGCCAAGAGGTAGGAACAACCCAATTGTTCATCCACAAATGAGGAGAGAAAATGTGGTATGTAAATATAATGGAATATACGTTTCATGGAAAAGAATGTATCTTTCAATTTTTAATTTTTGTGGGTACATAGTAGGTGAATATATCTATGGGATCCATGAGATGTTGGGATACAGACATGCAATGTGAAATAAGCACGTCATGGAGAATGGGGTATCCATCCCCTCAAGCATTTATCCTTTGAGTTACAAACAATTCAATTACACTCTTTTAGGTACTTAAAAACGTACAATTAAGTTGTTATAGTCACCCTGTTGTACTTTCAAATACTAGATCTTATTCTTTCAAAAATTGGTTGAACCTATTAACCATCCCCACATCCCCCATACTCTCCCAATACCTTTCCCAGCCTCTGGTAACCATCCTTCTACTCTCTATGCCCATGAGTTCAATTGCTTTGATTTTTAGGTCTCACAAACAAGTGAGAACATGTGATGTTTGTCTTTCTGTTCCTGGCTTATTTCACAAAATGATCTCCATTTCCATCCATGATGTTGCAAACAACAGGATCTCATTCTTTTCCATGGCTGAATAGTACTCCATTGTGTATATATACCACATTTTCTTTATCCATTCACCTGTTGATGGACATTTAGGTTGCTTCCAAATCTAATGGAATATATTATTCACTCATAAAAAGTGTGAAATTCTGATACATGCTGTTAATATAACACGGATGTACCTTGCAAGCATGTTGAGTAACATAAGCCACACCCCAAAGGACAAATATTGTATGATTCCACTTATACAAGGTACCTGGCACAGGCAAATTCATAGAGACACAAAGTAGAATGGTGGTTACCGGGGGCCGGGGGAGTAGGGAGTGGGGAGTTGTTACTTAATGGGTAGAGTTTGTTTGTTTGGGAAGGTTCTGGAGATAAAGGATGTGATGGTTGCACAACAATGTGAACGGGCGCAATGCCACTAAACTGTGCGCTTAGTTGCAAGGTTACAATAGGACATTTTATGTATATTTCACCACAATAAAAATAGGAAAAGGCAGGTGATTTCTAAGGACACAAGTCCCTTGGGGTTGCTAGTTCTGTCAGACTTTTCCCCTTGTTTTTCTGAATGACAAGGATTAGTAGTGGATGATAATGAGTGGATTCATGGATTTGAGCAGGACATGAAACAATTTCCATAGACAGAGATGAAAGGGCATTTCTGACTTGAAACCTGGGATGAGCACCGATGCAGGAGAGGCACGAAAGCTCACAGCGTGTTCAGGGCGTAGTGAATAGAGGGGTGCGTGCCCCGAGCCTGCAGAGCGGGCAGGGATGTGTAGGAAGGCACCTTCATCCTCCTCACTCAGCCTCCCAGCTCCAGGTCCAAAGCCGCCAAATCATCTTTCTTGTCACCATCACATGATAAGGGGGAGTCCTTCCAGACTGCCAGTCAATGAAGTAACACACACAGCCACGGTCATGCCAGTCTGAGCCCATCGGGCGAGCCCTGAGGGGAATAACAGTCTTGGTGGCATTGGGCAAGCCCCGAGGACTCCATCTCGGGGAATAACAGTCTTGGTGGCATCGGCGCTTCACCAGGCCTCCTGGAACCATATTCGGGATCCCCAACTGAGTGCTGGAAAGACCACTGGTCAGGAGCAGGGAGCAGGGGTGGAAGGAGGTGGCTCGTCCTGACCTTGACAATGAGAATCCTGTTTTAAGCTTCACGCTGCTGACTAAACAGAAAGGCCACGGCACAGGGACAGACGTGCGCATGAAATCACAGGAAGAAAGACATTTCACGAACAAATGCATCCTCCCAAACCAGTCTGAATCCCTCCGGACAGGGTGATGTTACCACGCAACTGGCCTGGCCTAATGAGCTGGTTTCTGTCATCCCTCCTGGAAGGTTACCCTGTAACACAAGGCGTGCCCACTGACATGCAGCCTGATGGAGCAAGGTTACACCTGTCTGCCTTTTGTGTGCACAAGATCAGAACACAGTCAAGTGAATACAAATGCAACAGCTGCTTGGGGCTCAAACTTGCATAGTCTATTTTATTTGGATAGAGAGCATAAAATTGGCTCTACCAAAGTCTGGAGGCTGGAAGTAATCATAATTGTAATCTAGTATAATTACCAAGCCTAGACCTTTACCTAGTCCTATTTAACCTCCCTTTCACCTTTCCAAGGAATGTGGAGGGATAAGAGAGTCACTGAATAAGTTGGTTGGTAATACTGTATTGTATCTCTCAAATCCATTGTTTTTTTTTAAAGAATG
This sequence comes from Homo sapiens, assembly GCF_000001405.40. Taxonomy (NCBI): domain Eukaryota; kingdom Metazoa; phylum Chordata; class Mammalia; order Primates; family Hominidae; genus Homo; species Homo sapiens. Next base: position 245,672,890 of record NC_000001.11, read on the forward strand.
AGATCAATAAATATAAATTCCAATATTTTCTTCCCCAAAGCACCATCTTGTACCGCTTTGGAGAACATTAGAGGGACTCACCTGGGTTTCCAGAGCTGGAAAACATAAGCCCCATAATGCACCCAGTCCCCACGGCGCGCTGCCATCTTAGGCCCAGTCCCCACTGCACGCTGTCATCTTAGGCCCAGTCCCCGCTGGGCGCTGCCATCTTAGGCCCAGTCCCCGCTGCGCGCTGCCATCTTAGGCCCAGTCCCCGCTGCGCGCTGCCATATTAGGCCCAGTCCCCGCTGCGCGCTGCCATCTTAGGCCCAGTCCCCGCTGCGCGCTGCCATCTTGGGCCCAGTCCCCGAGGCCCAGTCCCCGCTGGGCGCTGCCATCTTAGGCCCAGTCCCCGCTGGGCGCTGCCATCTTAGGCCCAGTCCCCGCTGCGCGCTGCCATCTTAGGCCCAGTCCCCGCTGCGCGCTGCCATCTTAGGCCCAGTCCCCGCTGCGCGCTGCCATCTTAGGCCCAGTCCCCGCTGCGCGCTGCCATCTTAGGCCCAGTCCCCGCTGCGCGCTGCCATCTTAGGGTTTTGCTTAGGGGGCAGATAGAAAATAGTAAATGAAACCCTTTCAGATATTTCCTGGCCTTATTTAGTAAACACGTCTTTTTGAAAGAACTCTGAATACACCTGCAGATTTTTCAAAGCCCAGATTCTACACACTTCTAATGTCAACCTTGAAGGGAGATCGTAGATTGAATTACAGAAAGGGGTGCTGTCAAAATGCCACATCAAATATAAACTTCACATATGTTTCTTACCTGAAACACTCACTCACACTCATGGAAAAGCACAGGAATGTTCTAAAAATGCAAGTTTATCACGAAGGAGACACAGGAGGTTCAGAGACGATGAAGCGGCAAGCCGGGAGGAAAGATCTGAGAGAAGCCACCAGGCTGGGGCAGGATTTCATTATATCCAGAATTCCACTTGGGCTCTGCAGTTTCTTTCTTCCTGAGAATTATTTAAAAGTCCCTGGGGAAGGACAAGAGTAAGAAAAAATCAAGGGAGAGCCTCTGGGTTACTATGACAACATGACTCTTGACCCCTTCTCTCTCACCCAGCAGTGCCTAAGTCCCTTTTGCATTGCTGCAGAGATCTCTGGCACTGTGATTAGCACATACTCCTAAACCTGAGGATGATTTAAAGTGGAAGGAGATCAAAGTTTCTAAATAGTACAATGAGCTCATCTTGACTCAAAAGATGTGTAATGGTTATAATGCAACATAACTGAGATGTTTCCTTATCCCCCCCACCAGTAAAGCTGGTCACAGACCGTTGCAAAGGCTCTGTGAAAAATGACAGGTCTATGGAAATGTCTACTGCAAAGCACTGATAACTCAGGATAATGATTCAGGCCAAAAAAAAATTTAAAAGGAAGTGAAACTTCAGACAATGTGAAACATGTCAGAGTCGTGTTTGCATTCTAAATTGCAGTAATGATATAAACATCATTATTCCTAATCTGATCCTGCAGGTGGATCAAATACGCACACATCTATTAAAGAACAGTCTGCATGCTCAGTAAGTGCACAGGGTCTTATTACCGAATCTTTCAGCACATCTTCATTTCATCTTTAACTTCATTAGAATATGTAAGTTTTGGCAGTCTATTGATTCAGGAGAAATCTATGGATCTATTATTTTCTATTTGTCTATAAAGTCCACTAATTCACCTTCTAAGTTGTTGTTTTGGGTTTTCATCAAAGTGATGACATTCCAACTCCTGATTATGCTACATTGAATAAAAATAAATGTAGGATTTTCTCCTTTCTGACCTAGAGCTAATAAGTTGTACATATTGGCTGAGTTACTGCAAAGAAAGGGCAAAATGAAAACACAGCTCTTATAGTCAAGGTTCTTAGGATCTTATTGAGATGAGCTCCTCAGAATCAGCCAAACTTCAAACATGGAGAGCACGGCCCCCAGTCTGCCAAGTCGGCCCAAGACTACTGACACCTACTGCAAGCAATTAGGGTCCAACTACAAAGTTAGCAGAAAGAGCCCACCCAAGACCACTGTCACGTGTGACAACTGCATGTTTGGAGGGTTCCCAAAACGACCCTCAGGCTCGTAATTCTCTAGAGGGACTCACAGAATTCACGGAAAATACTCATGGCTACAATTTATTATGTTGGAAAGGAGACAGATTAAAATCAGCCAAAGGAAGAGACACATGGGGCAGAATCTAGGACGGTTTCAAAAGGGACGCTTCCATTGTCGTCAGGACACATTACATTACCTTCCCGGCATCCGTGTGTGATGGTACACGTGGAGCACTGCCAACCCAGGATGCTCACCTGAGCCTTGTATCCAGAGTTGTTACTGTGGTTTCATTACATTGGCATGATTGATTGATTGATTTCCCATGTGGTCTAACTCAGTCTCCAGGTGGACTGGTACTGTGTGACCCCAAAGCCCCTGCCCTAAATCACATGGTTGATCCTTCTCTTGCAACCAGCTTGGACCATATGACTATCAGGTATGGCCCATCCTACCCTAAGATCTTATGTGGCCAACCCTCACCATAACAAAGGCACTCCCAGTGAGTATGATGTAGTTTACCTCCCAGAAGCTCATGGAAAAGGCCACATCTATCTTTGGGAAAGGTCAAATTTTTTACTACCCAAGCCTGACCTGAGAAGTGCTAAATTGTGAGGGTGGAAAGGGGCTAGTGTGAGCTTGGATGAACGAAGTATCTGAAGAGCAATGGAAGGAACATGGAATGTTCTTAAACAACAGAACATTTTTAGGACCATAGAGTATTGGAGTTGAAAGAATTTGGGAGATTATTGCATTTCTTAATAAGAGCACTGCCATGCAGAAGTGGCCTTGTCTTGGTAACATGATAGAAGCACATGATAACTGTCTTTAAAGTGTGAGGGGCCCATGTGAGCAACAGGGATTATTTTTACCCCATATAATCCTAGAGAACAAAGCCAGTGGCCATGGGTTAGAAGTTATTAAAAAGAAGATTTAAGTTTAATAGAAGAAAGAGCTTTCTAATAATTGAGGCTATTCAGAATATTACACAGGCTGTACTGGGATATGGTAAGTTCTCCCAAGTTAAAAATATTCAAGCAGAAAGCAGATCACCTGTTACCATGGCAGTGCTTTTATTAGGAAATGCAATAATCTCCCAAATTCTTTCAAGTCTAATACTCTGTGGCCCTAAAAAGAGTTTTCAATCTTGACAGAATTGTATTCTGGAATTAGTGGACTATTTCTTTCATAAGTCATTATGTGAATTACCTTGAAAATTTCTAATATCGTACCTGAGTGCCATGGCCTTGGCATGAATATACACTTCCTGAGCAGAACTTAAGAATGAGAATATCTGGAGTAATTCAGGTTCTGCTAATTCTGCATGGTTGTCACTGCGATGATGTTCATTGTTCTAGGTAAGAAGGATAAATGAGTAATAAAAGTTTCATGGGACACATATAAGTGAACTCATGTTTTATATCCACTTCAGTCATTCATTGCAAGCGAGTCTTGTTCAATGAGATCAAAGCAGATTGGTTAGGATTTTGACTTGAAACCTTCTGTTATTTATAAATTGGAGTTACATCATATATTTCTTCTAAAAGATTCTATTGAGACTGTTTGCTGTCTACAGCTGGTCTTTCTCCAGAAGTAGGTTGAATTGCCATGAATTTTATCTTATTCAGATAAATAGAATGCTGGTATCTAGGATCCAATAGATTCATGTGGCCCAAATTTCATCCAGACTTCATCCTCCTCTGTGTACAGTGGCAACTATTAAAATCATAACAGAGACTTGTTGGCTCCAGCCCATACTTGCAATGTAAAACCTCCACTTGGTGCAAACTCTTTCCATCCAGTATTTTCTGATGTCCCTGAGGGCTCTCATGAATGCTCATCACACGTCTCCTCCTGGAAACAACTGCTGCTTCACCAAGAATCGCAGGCCCCACGGGGAACCATCACTTCTCTCCTGCCTGTCACTGGGCACAGCCACCAACATTCCAGAGCCATCATGGTGCCAGCCCCAAATGACCAGGATGGTGTCGGGAAGAACGCGTCTCTCCCACGCATTATCCTGCCTCAGAGGCATCTCAAATGATGCTGCTTGCACCTCAGGGTTCTACAGTGTTTCATAAAAAGAGATCGATGAGCAAATAAATAGATTAACTTCATGTACTCTTAATAGTTCAAGACCTCTGCCAACCAGCGGTCTCAGGATAAGCAAGACATGACCTCATAATAGGAGGTGTGCTGGTTGGATCACAAAGGCTGGTCCTTCAGCCAGAGTGGGTGGTTCTCTGCAGGGACCTCTTCTAAGCTCTCCTTGATGAGACAACTAATCATCGTGTACACTGCCGAATGACAGTGTTTGCAGAACCTCTAGCATGCATGCTGGCCTCGGCTATCTCTGCCAATACTTTATTACACAAGCCAGAGTCACCTTCATCGGAAGACTTGAGAACTTGGCTTCTCTATCCCACGAATGTTATGCAGTCATCTTCCCAGCATCCTGCAGGACAGACCTGCTTATGCCATTTGCAGTACAAACAAAGTACTATCTATCTGAAATTGAGCAGCAAGTACTTTAACTTCACGTACCTCTCCTTCTGAAAATGCCATCAGGATAGCTCAGCCCATACCAAGCTTCTGGTACTTCTCTAGTACCCCAAAGCAAGTAATTCATGCCCTAAGGCATTAGCATCCTTGAAGGGAATGTTGCCAAGACAAGGCCACTTCTGCAGAGCAGATACCTTCCCCAGAGGGGAGGCGTCCAAAGTCTTGCCTCAAACGTAGGAATGTTCAGGAAGCAGTCATGGACAGCGAGATCATCAAGTCCCTTAGGAATAAGTAAACTCAAATAAAATAAAAATAAAGTGATTTTCCCTTTTGGAGGTATGTGTTTCAGTCTGGCGCAACTCAACACTGTCAGAAATAATAAAGACACTTACTTGAGACCTAGGAGACCCTTTGGGGCAGAATTGCCCTCAGCAGAGCTGGTGATGGTTTCCCTTGAGAACAGCCTTTCCCATGAGGGATAAGGAACTGCGGAGATGCTGCTCACCTTGGCCAGGAGCATTGGGCCAGGGATGATGGCTTGGGACCCTGGTCCCTGGCATCTCAGGCTGGTCTCCAAGGGTCACTGGTGACCTTTCAGGGGACAAAAGAAAAGGATCTTCACAGATAGTTGGCTGTAAATAGGAAGGAGGCAGGGTCAGTGGTGAGGAGGATATTTGAACAGTCAGCGTGTATTTCAAAGCCGTGGTTCTGTCCCCCTCTGGTGTTGCTTCCTTCTCCTCTTCACTCTGCAGCCGCCTCTTGGTGGTCAGAGGGTGAATGCAGGGCCCTGGGGTTTGGGGCCTAGGGCTGGGAGATCAGAGCTCTTGGAGCTGGCTTGATACCTGGCAATCCTCATCCAGCATCTCCATCTCTCTACGACGCGTTCTGGCACGTTGCAGGTGAAGTGGGTAGAGCGTGGGATGGTTACTGGAATCGATGTAGTTCCAGGGTGCTGTCCTTAAGAGTGCGAGTGGTACCAGTCAGTGTTCTCGGCATTTAAATATTAGTTGTTGTTATCTTGGCTATCTCATGCGTGTAAGAATTCTGTGTGTGTAGTTTCCATCCTTAAATTCAACCAAGGTATTACTGTAAAAAAAAGCAAGACAGGCCTGGCACAGTGGCTCACGCCTGTAATCCCAGCACTTTGGGAGGCCAAGGAGGGAGGATCACGAGGTCAGGAGATTGAGACCATCGTGGCCAACATGGTGAAATCCCGTCTCTACTAAAAAATACAAAAAATTGCTGGGCGTGGTGGTGCATGCCTGTAGTTCCAGCTACTCAGGAGGCTGAGGCAGGGGAATCGCTTGAACCCAGGAGGCGGAGGTTGCCGTGAGCTGAGATCACACTACTGCACTCCAGCCCGGGTGACAGGGCAAGACTTCGTCTCAAAAAAGAAAAAAAAAAAAGCAAGACAAAAACTCTCTCCCTTTTCTAGAAAAGAGCATGCCTGTGCGTATGGCTGGCTGTGTGCCTACAGTTCATGTGCCTGTTTCCGTTTTTGCTGCTCAAAGCCATGGATTGGTGTGTAGTCAGGACCTGCATTCTCTGCTTGGTGGTTCAGTGTCTGGGATGATACTGTTTCCCGGTTACTCTAGAGCAGAGGTCAACAAACTTCTTATGCAAAGGAGCAGGTAGCGAGCATTTTTGGCTTTGTGGGCGACACAGGCTCTGTTACAACCACTCAACTCTTATTGTAGCACAAAAGTAGCCACAGACACTATGTAAACAAATAGATGTGGCTGTGTTTTAATAAAACTTTATTTACAAAAGCAGGCAGTGTGCCAGCTTGGGCCTGCAGGACCCTGGTTGGTCAGCCCTGTGCCTGAGTGATAACATGCTCTTTCATGCCTTTAAAAATGATTATTAAAGTGTGTTCATTATCCTGTTCTTTTTGTCCTTTTTCTTGTTTAATAAGTGTTCACTGATTTTAAAAAGACATTTTTCTAAAAATCTGGGGGTTTTTTGTGTTTTTTTTGTGTGTGTTTTTTTTTTTTTTTTTTTTTTTTTTTTTGACACAAGGTCTTGCTCTGTCACCCAGGCTGGAGTGCAGTGGCGCAATCTCGGCTCACTGCAACCTCTGCCTCCTGGGTTCAGGTGATTCTCCTGCCTCGGCCTCCTGAGAAGCTGGGATTATAGGCGCGCGCCACCATGCCCAGATAATTTTTGTATTTTTAGTAGAGATGGGGTTTCACCATGTTGGCCAGGCTGGTCTCAAACTCCCGATCTCAGGTGATCTGCCCGCCTCAGCCTCTCAAAGTGTGGGGATTACAGGCGTGAGCCACGGTGCCCAGCATAAATTTATTTTCAAAGGCAAGTGTGGTCAGTGTAGGCAGGGAGTGAAACATGTATGCGTAAACACAACTACTTGAAAGAGCGGTGCGGTCCTTCCTCAGGCCCCCGTCAGCTCTGCTCCATCCCCAGTCCCTTCCTGTGCCTGCCCAACCTGTCCTCCATAGCCAGGGCCCCCCAACCCAAACCCCTCCAGGCACCACCTCCCTCCATCCCTCCCGCCTGGCTCTGGGGAGGGGGTGGCCAGCGGCCCTGCACGCTTCTTCCTCTTTTCTCTTCCTCTCTCTTCAGACTTGATGCAAAGAGTGGGCTAAGTCTGTGCTGACTGTTGCCCTGGAAACTCTTTTGAACCTTTCTCTTTCCCTCCAAAGATTCCGAGTTCCTCCTACAGTTTGCAGCCTTCAGTACCCTGCCCCTTCCCTCCCCTGCCCTCCCTTACTTGGTTGTCTTTATTCCAAGTTAAATGATCATCATGAGGTTGGGAAAGCCGCAGCTTTCTATGCACCATGTTTTACTCCCCAAAGGACATCTTTTAGAGTCCGCAGAGGCCCACATGAAGGGCTCACCAGCAGCTCTACCGGTTTGCTTTCCACAAGGAGAGCTAAAATGCCGGTTGCTAAGCAGCATACATGCCGCTGCTTCTTTCCACAATGTAGACTTAAAAAAATCGCCGTAAACATTTTACCATATGATTGAGTCAGGTGTGGGGAGTCGCAGTAAACATTTTACCATGTGATTGAGTCATGGGTGGGGAGTCGCGGAAATACACAGGGCAGGCAGTTCGCTATCACGATGTTCTCTCTCAATTCTGTCTTTGGTCTGTCTTCCTGGGTAATGTCACATGGAGACCCAGGGGATCTGCCGTCAGCTGTGTGCAGTGGGTTAACAAGACGACGGGGAACTTCAGAGTGCAGGCAGTCCTCATCTTTTGCAGATTCTGTATTTGCACATTCACCTACTCACTGAAATGCATTTGTAACCCCAAAATCAATACAGCGGTTTCACAGTCATTCTCCGACACGGGCAGAGGGGTGAAGATACTGAGTCGCCAGATGCACGCGTTCCCCGCCGAGGTGGAGCGTGCAAAGCTCTGCCTTCACGTTTGGCTCTCATATCGTGCACATGTGTCCTTTTTGCAGTCTCCTTAGCACTGTGTTTTTCATATTTTTGTGCTTTCTGATGGTTATTTTGCTGTAAACGGCCCCCAAGAATGGTGCTGATGTCCTATTTAGGGTCCCTAAGCACAGGAAGGCTGTGATGTGCCTTATGGAGAAAATCCATGTGTTAGACACACTTCTTTCAGGTAGGAGCTACAGTGCTCATGGGGGTCTAGTGTTAATGAATCAAGAATACACACACCCAGAAAAAGGAAGAGGAAGCGCACAGGGCAGCCAGCTTGATGTCACCACGTTACATCCTTTTATCCGGTCTTTGGTAAGTTTTCTTTTCTTTTTTTTTTTTTTGAGACAGAGTCTCGCTCTGTCGCCCAGGCTGAAGTGCAGTGGCGCGATCACGGCTCACTGCAAGCTCCACCCCCCGGGTTCACGCCATTCTCCTGCCTCAGCCTCCTGAGTAGCTGGGAATACAGGTGCCCGCCACCACGCCCAGCTAATTTTTTGTATTTTTGGTAGAGATGGGGTTTCACCGTGTTAGCCAGGATGTTCTTGATCTCCTGACCTCATGATCCACCCACCTCGGCCTCCCAAAGTGCTGGGATTACAGGCATGAGCCACCGCGCCCGGCCGGTCTTTGGTATGTTTTCTTGGGGACTTACACAGGGTCACGTGGAGATACAGGGGGATGCGCCTTCGGCCCATCTGTATGTGGGGCCACTCTGGAAAGTGCTAAGGTAACAGCTATAGTACATGAGGAAGCCATGGAAGAGATGAAAAGTGGCTGAATGTGTGGATTCATCAGATGATGAGAACATTTAATGTAATAGATAGCATTGGTGTGAGGCTAGACACCAAAGAAATGTACAATCATGTTACCCAAGGGAAGGAAAGTATTAAACCCTTCTTGGCTAGTGTTTTATTTTAAAGAAATACCAAATATAATTCATTATTTTGAAGAAACGTATTAAATAAAGCATCTTATTAACAAGGTTACGTATTGACCAGTTGAAGAAACTTTTGTCATCAGAGGTTCACAGAAACCTAAACCATACGTTAGGTTGGTGCAAAAGTAATTGAAATGGGCCAGATGCAGTGGCTCACACCTGTAATCCCAGCACTTTGGGAGGCCGAGGCGGGCGGATCGCCTGAGGTCAGGAGTTTGAGACTAGACTGGCCAACATGGGTGAAACCCCGTCTCTACTAAAAATACAAAAAATTAGCTGGGTGTGGTGGCGCGTGCCTGTAGTCCCAGCTACTCCGGAGGCTGAGGCGGGAGAATCCCCTGAACCTGGGAGGCGGAGATTGCAGTGAGCCGAGATCGTGCCGTTGCACTCCAGCCTGGGCAACAGAGCAAGAGTCTGTCTTAGGAAAAAAAGAAAGAAAAAAAAAGTCATCGAAATGACAGAAACCGTAATTACTTTTGCACCAAACTGTATTTCCCCTAAGAACAATGGCCCAGTATTTACAAATTCAGTGTTCACAAATATTTTATAGAACACAGCTACCATGAATAACAAGAGCTGACTGTATATGATCACAACCTAACTGAGCAGAACTCACCCTCCACTACTCATGTAAGACCTGACTGTATATGATCACAACCTAACTGAGCAGAACTCACCCTCCACTACTCATGTAAGACCTGACTGTATATGATCACAACCTAACTGAGCAGAACTCACCCTCCACTACTCATGTAAGACCTGACTGTATATGATCACAACCTAACTGAGCAGAACTCACCCTCCACTACTCATGTAAGACCTGACTGTATATGATCACAACCTAACTGAGCAGAACTCACCCTCCACTACTCATGTAAGACCTGACTGTATATGATCACAACCTAACTGAGCAGAACTCACCCTCCACTGCGCATATTGAAGACAGAGCCCAAGACGCATCCAGGTGCAACGTCTCTGCTAAGAATGTGTGCCAGGAATGGGGCCTGGCTTCCTCGTCGAGTGCGGCTGTCCGTGGGTTTCTGCTAGACAGATAACGTTCTGAAGGAGTTAAACTTTCACAGCTCCTCCTCCTCCTCCTCCTCCTCTATATCCCTTACCTCGCCACGTTCATCACTGGTCATTTTGCTGGAAGGGAAGCCCTGGTATATTCTTACATTGCTCTGGAAGTGAGCTTTAGCCCAGCGTCGCCAAACTTACACCTTAATTGATCCCAGATGAGAAGGAAAAGCTATTGCTCTTACCCCACAGTCTTCCCTCCCTGAGGCCAGAAGCAGGTCACGTGTAAAATGGTCTGCTCTCTGCTGACAGTGGCCTGAGTCTCCCATAGTGTCTGCTGAGCTGGATAGTCCCTCTCCAGGGAGCTTTGCAGGGGATGGGTGATGAGACATGGACATGGGGACGAATTCCTCTCATCTGGAATCGCAGACACAGCATGGAGATATGAGCACGCGGCATGGGAAATAGGCTTCCTCAGCCCTTCAGGATCAGGGAACGTGCCAGAGATGCAATGACATTTGGCAGCAGTTGAGAGTATGAGTGCTGTTGATGAAATAAACAGAGGCCTTTAAAAGCAAGGCAGGAAAAATGCTGGGACGAGTACAGGAACAGAAAACCAGCCATTTCTCCAGGTCTATTCAAAGACGTAGCAACACTCCCTGCAAACCCCAGGGCCTCATTATCACCACTCAGGGCAGTGGCCCCGCACAGCACCTGCACAGTTGCCAGAGGAGGCCTCTCTATAGGAAGTGCTGCTTTCTGTTGTGGATAGAGTGACTGGCTGGGCCTCTCTCTGTGTTTCTCCCCTAGTCTTCAGGAATATGAATGCCTTTTCCTTCAGTGCTACTAGGTGCAAATATGCGAGTTAAGGGACAATGCCAATAAAGTAGCCGCAGTTTCCTGGCTAAAGGAACTGTGCAGGTATTAAAAACCCACCGATCTTTAATCCAGGTTCGTGGCAGGGGGACTCCTTTTTGTTGCAAGATTGTCTGTGTGTGGAAACCCTGGAGAAAGGCCACACGTGCAGTCAGCAAGCCGAGTCACCAGGCACAGAGCCCTTTCTCCTGATCCCCTCCTCTTGTTTCTATTCCCAGGCCTCATTATGTATAATGTCACAGACACACACGCCCAGGAACATCCCATCACAGCCAGGACAGAAGCGCCAAGGGAGGTGCTTTGCACAGATTCCATCTTGGAGTTAGAAGCACTTGCTCGGTGCTTGCCAACTACAAATAGCCCCATGCTGGAAAATGATGCTAATTAGTATGCCATTAAAAAGGGTGGGGGGACCACCACCCACAACAAAATGGCCGTGTGCAGGCCTGAAGCCCTGCCCTGAGGGCCACAGGGAAGCATGGCCGCTAATGCAGCCTAATTCACTTTGTTTGGCAGAGAGAGCAAGCTCGCCATGTTGCTGCGGGAGTCTCTGGGGAACATGAACTGCCGTACCACCATGATCGCGCACATCTCGGCCGCGGTCGGGAGCTACGCGGAGACCCTGTCCACCATCCAGATTGCATCGAGAGTCTTGAGGATGAAGAAAAAGAAGACGAAGGTAAGGAGCTCGCGGGGTGGGGGGGTGGTGGATGAGGGAGCCTTTGGAGCCGTGCCCTGGAACAGAGTCAGAAAAAGCCAAATCAACGTTGCCAATCCCCCAGCATCAGGAGATGTGACTTGGAGCTGACAACACGTGGCTCAGGGTCCACTTTGGGGCAGGGAAACCTTGGGGCTGATACAAAGTCATGTCACCTCCCCACACCTGGTGCTGGCCCTGGTCACCCAGCCTGGACCCCTGACCGGAAGCACTTGGTCCGCTTTAGAGAGTACAAATGGATTGCTACCTCAAGAGGAAAAACGTTGGAGGGATGGAAAATATTGTTTTTCTCATGCATGGCCTCGGTCCTGCGTAGGTGGAGACTGTGTCCTTCGAAGGCTTGGCACCAAAGAGGTTCTCAACTCCCTGCTCTCAGGGCCCCTCCCCTGCTGCATGTCCAGGAGTCACTCCCTGGCTGCTGCTTTTGTCCTGGCAATTCAGTGGTTTCTGGATGATACTGAGTCTGCTGGACATCGCTGGGCTCATTTTCTCAGGCAGAGGCCAAGCCAGGATGGTGGCAGGGTGGCAAGTAGTTGAGAAAACCATCATGATCGTGGCCACTCAGTGGCAGGGGCAGCTGCTGAGGTGGGGGCCTTTTTCCCCCTTCTCTGTTTTGTACCTTTTTTATCTTTAAATAGCGTTTCTTAACCAGAGTTCCACGGCACAGGGTGCCAAACATTGGTGAGCCAGCAGCCCTTAGCTGGTCAGGCAGGGCCTGGATGGTCACCCCCTTTCCTGAGCAGCTGTTTCCCCAGCGTGCCACACGGGGCTTCCCCTTCACAAATGCAGTGGTGATGTGACACCGGGCGCGCGGGCATGGCACCCCGAGTGGCCCACGTGCGGGAGGCCAACGGGGGTGGCTGTCAGTAGCCTGTGTCGTCAGGGGCCTTCACCACTTGCCGCGCACAGCTGGGCTCCCGGGGAAACTGCCACGGAAAGGCCACCACATTAACTGCCGTCTCACTCACAGTACACATCCAGCTCGTCCGGCGGGGAGAGCTCCTGCGAAGAAGGCCGCATGCGCAGGCCCACCCAGCTGAGACCCTTCCACACCAGGGCCACGGTGGACCCTGACTTCCCCATCGCTCACCTGTCCAGCGACCCCGACTACTCCTCCAGCAGCGAGCAGTCCTGCGACACCGTCATCTACATCGGGCCCAACGGCACGGCCCTCTCTGACAAGGAGCTCACCGACAACGAGGGCCCCCCAGACTTTGTCCCTATCGTGCCAGCCCTGCAGAAGACCCGGGGCGACAGCCGGCCCGCAGAGGCAGGAGAGGCTGCAGCCGGCAAGTCAGAAAGGGACTGCCTGAAGTGCAACACGTTTGCCGAGCTGCAGGAGAGGCTGGACTGCATCGACGGCAGCGAGGAGCCCAGCAGCTTTCCTTTCGAAGAACTGCCTGCTCAGTTTGGGCCAGAGCAGGCAAGCAGAGGCCCCCGGTTAAGCCAAGCAGCGGGGGCAAGCCCACTCTCTGAGTCTGATAAGGAAGATAATGGGTCCGAAGGTCAGCTGACCAACAGAGAAGGCCCTGAACTCCCAGCCTCCAAGATGCAGAGGAGTCACTCACCTGTGCCCGCCGCGGCACCCGCCCACAGCCCCAGCCCGGCCTCACCCAGGAGCGTCCCGGGCAGCAGTAGCCAGCACAGCGCCTCCCCACTCGTGCAGAGCCCCAGCCTCCAGAGCAGCCGGGAGAGCCTCAACTCCTGCGGCTTCGTGGAAGGCAAGCCCAGGCCCATGGGCTCCCCCCGGCTGGGCATCGCCAGCCTGTCCAAGACCTCGGAGTACAAGCCACCCAGCTCTCCTTCCCAGAGATGCAAAGTCTACACCCAGAAGGGGGTCCTGCCGTCTCCCGCCCCACTGCCTCCCTCGAGCAAGGATTCCGGCGTGGCGTCTAGGGAGTCCTTGCTGCAGCCCGAGGTGCGTACGCCCCCGGTTGGAATGAGCCCCCAGGTTTTGAAAAAATCCATGTCTGCTGGGAGCGAAGGGTTCCCGGAAACTCCTGTCGATGATGAGCAGCAGGCAGCTACTCCTTCAGAGTCCAAGAAGGAGATCCTGAGCACCACGATGGTGACGGTGCAGCAGCCACTGGAGCTGAACGGTGAGGACGAGCTGGTGTTCACGCTGGTGGAGGAGCTGACCATCAGCGGGGTCCTGGACAGCGGCCGCCCCACCAGCATCATCAGCTTCAACAGCGACTGCTCTGCACGGGCCCTGGCCTCGGGCTCGCGGCCCGTCAGCATCATCAGCAGCATCAGCGAGGACCTGGAGTGCTACTCCAGCACGGCCCCCGTCTCCGAGGTCAGCATCACACAGTTCTTGCCCCTCCCGAAGATGAGCCTGGATGAGAAGGCCCAGGACGCAGGGAGCAGACGCTCTTCCATCAGCTCCTGGCTGAGCGAGATGAGCGCGGGCAGTGAGGGTGAGCAGTCGTGCCACAGTTTCATAGCCCAGACGTGTTTTGGGCACGGGGAGGCAATGGCAGAACCTGTGGCCTCGGAGTTTGTCAGCAGCCTCCAGAACACCGCTGTGGTGTGCAGAGAGAAGCCCAAGGCCAGCCCCGACAACTTGCTCATCCTGTCTGAGATGGGAGATGACTCTTTCAACAAAGCAGCCCCCATCAAAGGCTGCAAAATATCCACAGTGAGCAAGGCCATGGTCACCATCTCCAACACGGCCAATCTGAGCAGCTGCGAGGGGTACATCCCCATGAAGACCAATATCACAGTTTACCCCTGCATTGCCATGAGCCCCCGGAACATCCAAGAGCCGGAGGCCCCCACCGCCACCCCCAAAGCAGGCCCCACATTAGCCCAGTCCCGGGAGAGTAAGGAAAACAGTGCAAAGAAAGAGATGAAATTTGAGGACCCGTGGCTGAAACGAGAAGAGGAAGTGAAAAAAGAGACGGCTCATCCCAATGAAGAAGGGATGATGAGGTGTGAGACTGCCACGGGCCCCTCGAATGCTGAGACCAGAGCAGAGCAGGAGCAGGACGGAAAGCCCAGTCCGGGAGACAGGCTCAGCAGCAGCAGCGGAGAGGTGTCGGCCTCCCCGGTCACTGACAACTTCAGGAGGGTCGTGGATGGGTGTGAGATGGCCCTGCCCGGTTTGGCCACCCAGAGCCCCGTGCATCCCAACAAAAGCGTCAAGTCCAGCAGCCTTCCCAGGGCCTTTCAGAAGGCCAGCCGGCAGGAGGAGCCGGACAGCCTCTCCTATTACTGCGCTGCTGAGACCAACGGGGTGGGTGCAGCCTCGGGCACCCCGCCCTCCAAGGCTACCCTGGAGGGGAAGGTGGCTTCCCCCAAGCACTGTGTTCTGGCTCGGCCCAAAGGGACTCCCCCTCTGCCCCCTGTCCGAAAGTCCAGCCTGGACCAGAAGAACCGGGCCAGCCCTCAGCACAGTGCCAGCGGCAGCGGCACCAGCAGCCCCCTGAACCAACCAGCCGCCTTCCCGGCGGGCCTCCCAGACGAGCCTAGCGGCAAGACGAAGGACGCCAGCAGCAGCAGCAAGCTCTTCAGTGCCAAGCTGGAGCAGCTGGCCAGCAGAAGCAACTCGCTGGGCAGGGCGACAGTCAGCCACTACGAATGCCTCTCCCTGGAGCGGGCCGAGAGCCTGTCCTCCGTGAGCTCCCGGCTGCACGCGGGCAAGGACGGCACCATGCCCCGCGCGGGGAGGAGCCTGGGCCGCAGCGCCGGGACCTCGCCCCCCAGCTCCGGGGCCTCGCCCAAGGCCGGCCAGTCCAAGATCTCCGCCGTGAGCAGACTCCTCCTGGCCAGCCCCAGAGCGCGCGGCCCGTCCGCCTCCACCACCAAAACCCTCAGCTTCTCCACCAAGTCCCTGCCGCAGGCGGTGGGCCAGGGCTCCAGCTCGCCCCCCGGTGGGAAGCACACGCCCTGGTCCACGCAGTCCCTCAGCAGGAACAGGAGCTCGGGCCTGGCCTCCAAGCTTCCCCTGCGGGCCGTCAGCGGGCGCATCTCGGAGCTGCTGCAGGGTGGCGCGGGCGCCCGGGGCTTGCAGCTGCGGGCCGGGCCCGAGGCGGAGGCGCGCGGGGGGGCCCTGGCCGAGGACGAGCCCGCGGCCGCGCACCTGCTCCCGTCGCCCTACAGCAAGATCACGCCCCCGCGGAGGCCCCACCGCTGCAGCAGCGGCCACGGCAGCGACAACAGCAGCGTGCTGAGCGGGGAGCTCCCGCCGGCCATGGGGAAGACGGCCCTGTTCTACCACAGCGGCGGCAGCAGCGGCTACGAGAGCGTGATGCGGGACAGCGAGGCCACCGGCAGCGCGTCCTCGGCGCAGGACTCCACGAGCGAGAACAGCAGCTCCGTGGGCGGCAGGTGCCGGAGCCTCAAGACCCCGAAGAAACGCTCCAATCCAGGTAGGCGGCTGGGCGCAGGGACGCGGGTGAGGAGGGCGGCAGGTGGGCGAGCTGCCCAAACCCCACTGCCAGGGTGTCCCGTGCCCTGGGGAGGGGGCGTCCAGGCCTGGCCTCTCCTTGCAGGTGGGCGAACTGCCCAAACCCCACTGCCAGGGTGTCCCGTGCCCTGGGGAGGGGGCGTCCAGGCCTGGCCTCTCCTTTCCCACGGCCCGGCACCCCGCGGGGCTCCGCCGGGGACATCACCGCGGAGGGTTTCTCTGTGAGAAACTGCCCTACTGCGTGCCGTCATCAGGCTTAGGGCCGTGAATCCCTTGGCGCTCAGCAGGGTGGAAAGGCGAGGGCCCGGATGCAGGTGGCAGCATGACCCGCACCTGCTCGCTCTGGGGGCAGCCTGGCTCTTCGCCGTCCATTCCCTCACCCCTGCCCCTCTGTTCAACAACCAAGGATCCTGTGGACGGTTTACAGCCTGTTGAGGGATCAGGTGAGGGTACCTACCCTCATGACCTGGTGGCTTCAGAAGCCCCTCCTGTGAGGTTGGTGGCCTGCAAGACCCTGGCAGCCTCTCTCAGGGATGTGGGATAACGCACAGATTGTCCCATTGAAAGTGGAATGGCGAGGCCCTTCCTCCACCTCCACCCCAAACATATTTGTGGACAGTCATGTTTGCACACCTGCCACAGGGCCTGCAGTGCCCCCCGCCACACACACCATGATGCCTGAAATGCGTGATTTTGGAGAAAGTCTTTGCCATTTCTTTTTTTCCTTTTTTTGAGACAGTCTTACTCTATCGCCCAGGCTGGAGTGCAATGGCGTGATCTTGCCAAACTGCAACCTCTGCTTCCTATGTTCAAGTGATTCTCCTGCTTCAGCCTCCTGAGTAGCTGGGATTACAAGCGTGCACCACCGTGCCTGGCTAATTTTTCTATCTTTGGTAGAGACAAGGTTTTACCATGTTGACCAGGCTGGTCTCGAACTCCTGACCTCAAGTGATCCGCCCGTCTCAGCCTCCCAAAGTGCTGGGATTACAGGCGTGAGCCACCACACCCAGTCAGTCTTTGTCATTTTTAAGAATCTCCTATCAAAAGGCACGTACTCCAGAATAATTAATATATAAAGCCCACAGACTTGTTAATTGGAGTCTTGGGTGGCACATGACAGTAAGTTATGATGGGCAAGGAGAAGAGGACCCGGGTCAGAGCTGGTGGCCCTGGAGGTCTTGGGGTAGGAGAAATGAAAGGATGGTAAGGAGAGAAAAAGACAGACAGAGGCAAAAGTTCCCAAGAACAACTGAAGCTACTTGAGAATTTTGCCTGGAATCATCTCTGCTCATAAGTGGCTTCCAAAGAAATTACCCCTGCTCATCCTTTAAGGGCTTAAAAAAAAATAAATGAAATTTACGCAGAACCCCACGTGCAATTCTGTGGCTTGGTTGAAGCCAGGGCGGCCGGGTTCCTGCCCTCCTGGCCTGTCTCTCCCCTCCCGCTGCCCTTCTGTGCAACACTAGGCTCTTCACATGCTCTCAGAAGCCAGGTCCCTGCAGGGATCCGTGCCCGCAGCATATGTGGAAGTAAAAGATGGGGTGAGACACAGATGTAGGGCTTCCCCTTTCCTACTGCTCCAGCAACTGCCCCACAGGCTTGTTCTCTGTCATGGGGTGGCTTCTTCCTGTTCTCCCACCACAGGCGAGCACAAACTCTGGAATGTTCCAAATGTAAGGGCTGTGGTCAGTGAACATTATAAACCATTCCTCTTCCTAGAATCAAAGAAATCCACCTTAAGGGATGGTGTAGTTATGCAGATGTAGTTTTATGATATAGACAGCCCCATCCGCTCCCCTCATCACAGATCACAGAACTTGGCCATGGGGATGTTAGGCTCTAAGCATGGTAGGGAATCATCGTGGCTGTCAGTACCTTGACATCTTTATTTGCCTGGGGGGGGGGTATGCTTCAGTCTTTGATACGCTTTGACTCTGCTTTACTTCACCCCTCAATCTCGGTGACAGCACTTGGAGCAGAACCCCATTTAAGACAAGTTGAAAAGGAAGAGCCATTCCGTGTAACGTAGCAGCTTCTGTGTCTTATGGCCAGGGCCAAGGGCATTGAAACGTATTGATGAGAGTAAAAATAACAAGCAGGAAAGCATCTGCCGGCCTTCCCAGTACCTGGTTAATGAACTCTTGTTATTCTAATCCACGCAGCCTCGGTCTTCAAAGTCCAGATGACTGTGTGGCATCGGCTGCGTGGCCACGTGTGTTTCAGTGTCCCACAGTGCTTTCATGGACTCAAATTTAGTGCCTTGCGTCTACCAGTCCATTTCATTATTTCCGTGGCTTTCACAGGTTTTTGTTTTTTTCCCCAAGACTTTTATTGTTTGGTTTGGCGGTTACAGTGGAGTAAAGAGGAAGAACAATGATGGAAAAACAAACGTGTGAAGTGACTGCTTGGCGAGCAGGCAGCAGGCTCTGCATACGCCCTTGCTCTGGGCTAAGTGCTCTCGTAAATGCTGTCCTCTAGGAGCCTCTGGTTAGGTAAGGCTATTGGAGGAAAACAGTGTAAAATTAAAATGCCAGGGCAGGTGCTAGAAATGGATTTCATGTGGAATGTCAAGAGCAGAAGACCTTTGTGATGAGCTGCTGTAGATCCAGGCTCCATGATGGATGTGGCAGTGGAGATGTGCTGGTTTCAGGTTAGGTGACCTTGTCTGGCTTATTTATGATTATTATTAAGAGAAACGGTGGCTGTCAGACATGGTCAGCATAAATCAAAAGCAACTTCTTTAAGAGAAGCTATAAAACTCCTCCAAGGAAATTCCTAACTAGATGGCTAGAGTTTACAATTATGAGAGGTGTTTGGAACCAGAGAGGAGACATCTTTTGTCTGAGATGGCTTTTGAATTTGGAATATTTTAATGCTTATTTCCTTAGTAAAAATGAACTAGAATTATTGGGAAAATAACCTTGACCTCTCTGATTCCTTGGTAGTACATGTAACAGCAGAAACGACCAAATATCACCGTGGTTCCTTCTTGTCTTCTCATTCTTGGAGGTCCATGTTGCTGAGGAGTGTGCAGCATTGGGCTTGTTCCACCGGCCATAGCAGGGTGCAGTGAATTAAGTTAGAAAGCAGGAGGAGGCTTAGAATCTTGAGCTGTGTGACCTTTGGGGAATAACTGTCCTCTTTGAGCTTCAATTTTCTCATATGCAAGTAAAACGAGAAGATTGATAGGTAATAGCCATGGTCTCTCTGCTGCCCACATCATATGAGACTATGCAGATAATTTAAATAATGTTATGGTCATGTGATGTCTTTTCCTTAGAGCAATCTGTAGTCAGTGGGGTTTATTTTCAGTTGTTCAACATTGACCAGGTATCTTCTGTGCTCTTAGAGCTTGGTGATAGTTTCTGGTGTGTGGGTGGAGGTGGAGGCAGCCGGCACAGGGGACAAGGCCACTGTAAGAAGTTTGTAATCTAATTGGAGAGAAAGGGTGAAAAGCGTGGAATAGAGAACAGTGAACTGAGTGCATTCCCAGATGCTGAGTGGGGTAGTGAAGGCCCAAGTGGAGAGAGCATTTAGACAAAGCAGGATCCTGCAAGGCAAAGGCTGCAGAGAAATGTCGGGATTGAGCTTGGTCCGGGAGGGTGCTTACATCGGGACAGGCAGAGAGGGCGCAGGGCATCGAGGCTGAGGCAGGGATGGGACTGCAAACTCCCAGCGGCAAGAGCCTGGCCTGTGGGCGACACAGCGAGATTAACTCAAGGAGGGACCGTCCCAGCAAGCAGAGCAAGACGCTAGCAAACGCAAGCCACAGTCACACCCGGAACAAACACAAGCCACAGTCACACCTGGAACATCTGGGAGCTACAAGAACAGTACACATTATTCTATATTCTACATAGTTCTAAAAGAATATCAGTATATTATTGTAGTTGGCAATGGGGAGTCATTACAGGCTCTTGACCAACAACGTGATAAGGTGAGAGAAATGATGTTGCTTTTATTGATGGATTTTCATTGCTTCATCCACAGCTCCTTGCCAGCCCCTCTATGGTCAGCAAGATGAAATTGTGTATAGCCCAGAGCCAAGAATGAGCCCAGGAGGGAAGGGAATGTCTGTCCTGGCCAGTGCACATATCAGCAGCTGAGGATGTCAATCTGTGATACACAGTTGATGCCATAATTACACCAGCTGAGCCCCTACCCTGAGCCCCCAGTCCTCGCGCTCCCCCGTCCCCTATCATCCATTATATGTTATGTCAATCCTATTTTCTTCCTCCAGTCTCTTAACATTTCACCCTCATCCTGGTGTGTTACTTCCTTGGATTCTTTCCCTTGCTTTCCTTTTCTTGGACTGGATGGGGAAGTCTGACAGTTAGATGAGCACCTTGGTCTGAATTAAATTCATTCCCACCACAGGGAGGCTCAGCACCAGAAAAGCCCTGGAGTGAGGGAGGGTCTGCCTGAAGAGAAGCCCCTCAGGGAAGCATGGAGGTTCTGGAATGCTCCAGACCTTGGCCCGCCTGGACATGAGCAAGGCCTGTTCTGCGCTCGACCCAGCCTGCTTGGTGCCCAGCACTGGGCTGGTGCAGGTTACTGTTGGATATTATTGGTTGATTCATTGATGGGCTGGTTGCTTGGTTGGCGGCACAGTCCTGAAAGTTTACTCATGTTTATTTTCTGTGTATTTCTCATATCTTTTCCTGCTGGTGCTAAGTGCTTTAAGTGTTGAGTCTAGTCTGCTACTTTGTCATTCTAAGCGCCAGACCCTGTGCCTTTCTCTTGGTGCTGAGTCAACATTACTGACTGATGGGCCTGTCTTGTGAGTTGTGACTTGCACCTGTAGTGAATTGAGCTCCCAGGCTACCAGGTTCAGTTCCCAGGGCGCTGCACAAAAACTTGTGACTAATTGCTCCTCACCGAGGGCACCATGGTTTGCTCTGCCAACCTCTCCTATTCGTTTGGTTCTCAGGCACATCCTGGTTTTGTTTTAATAAATTCAAGCAGCACAGTGATCACTGGCTTAATGAAAACCAGAGGAAGGCAAGCCGCTTGCTGTCAGACTTCAGATTTCCAGAATGTTTCTAAGCGAACCAACCTAGAGCCAGTTGAGAATAGGTTCAGAATGAGAGCCTTTTTGAATACACAGTTGGGGGAAAAGGAGGAGAGTCATTGATTCTCTCAGACACCAAGGAAGCTCCTTAGAATAGAACCCCAAAGAGAGTAGGTGGCGCTGATGCTGTGAGATGACACTGTGGTCCTAGGTGCGGGGTTCGGAATCGCAGAGAACACGGGAGGAAGCCCAGGCTCGGCATCGAGGAGAGCTTTGTGGCCCTGGAGAACCTGCCTCTTTCTCATCCCCAGCACGGGAGCACTTGCCTTTTCAGCTAAAACATGACAGCAGGCCACACAGCCAGCATCGTTCTTCATCATGGAGCTGGCCCCTTCCTGGTCAACAAAATCACATGGATTGATTCACATTCTCTTTCTCTCTCTGCTCTGATATCTACAGTTCCTTTCAACATTAGTGCCTCGTGCTTTTTTGACTGTCTTCCTAGTGCCTACTCTTTGAATCAGAATGCAGACAGTGGGCGATGGAGCGAAAGCCATGCTGGAGGGCTCTCAGGAGCAGGAGTTTGGGAATGGGCAGAAGCATATTCCCCAGGGGGAGCTGAGAGGGCTCAGCACTCAGAACACCCATGTTTCCCAACACTTAACCTCAGCAGCAGCATCTGCAGACTCGTGTGGGGACTTCTGTCTGGACTCAGGGATGTTAAGAGTAGAAGGCCCAATGTCAGCTTCTCACGTGGGCTGTCAGCACCGCAGATGATACCGGAAGATGGACTGTGATGGGCCAGCGACCCCTCTGACTGCACGCAGCTGTCAGCCAGGCCTGGAACAGGAGGGGCGAGGGGGTGGGCTCAGCCTCTGTTAGTGGGAGAGGTCCTGGTTGGAAGTTTCACTGAAGTATCAGTGTTGACTTTCTCAGGTCAAATCTGGGCCATTTCATGCGGTAAATCCATGTCGGCAGGTATCAGCCCAAGTGTTTTGAACATGCTGCACTTGTACATGCCTGGACCAAATGCCAGGCTGATGAGCAGGGAGGGGTTGAAAAGCAGAAGGGAGCCCAACCCACCGGCGTCAGCAGGAGGCTGGCCCTGGCTGTGGCTCCCCGATCAGACAGGCGGCGTCCAATGGGGCACCACACGACTCCCGCCAGGGTGGGGCTTCCCCTGTACCTTTCTTAGAGCTGATGGTCCCCTGACCCCACTCGCAGCCTGGAAGGAGGGGATCCCTGGCAGAGACCGGGCTTGGCAGAAAACTGGGCATCTGCTTGAGAGGTGGAAATGCTGGAGCATGCAGAAAATCTAAGAACCCTTATTTATATGGGGCCCCAGACCAGGACCCTCGGGTCAGTCTTTCTTTGCCCAGGGATGGCATAGCAGTAACATCGCTTCCTGTGCCCTTTCCAGTAATGTGAGGGCACCATCTCCGCCCCTGAACTCCCTTCAGGCCACTTCACTCCATTTCCTCAGCCTGACCACATTACCCCTGCCCCAGTACTTGGCTTCCCTCACCATCACCTAAGTGAAGCTCACATGCACCTCTGGAGGGAGACAGGCGCGGGGAGAGGGAGCCTCAGCTGGAGGTGCAGGAACTGAGTATCAATCCATTCACGGGATTGAGGTTCTGGTACCCAAATTCAGAATTTTACGAAAATCCAAGACACTTGTTCATTCGTGTGCAGGAAAAAGGTATTCCTAGCCCCCAAACCACACCTAACCTGACAGTGGGCACTCACTTCACCTTGAGAGGGATCGATGTGGTGAGGAAGTTCAAGGTTGCTAGATGGCATGGAAAGGAGGCAATGGGAAGGAAGTAGATACCCGCCAGGATATTTCTGTGAAGCTGTTGTAGCCCAGTGAAATGTCACTCTCCAGGTGTTTTTACCTTCTCTACTCCCAGCTCACACGGTGCCCTGGCACGGGTATTGGCAGGACTCTCCAGGTGTTTTTACCTTCTCTACTCCCAGCTCACACGGTGCCCTGGCACGGGTATTGGCAGGACTCTCCAGGCGTTTTTACCTTCTCTACTCCCAGCTCACACGGTGCCCTGGCACGGGTATTGGCAGGACTCTCCAGGTGTTTTTCTCTACTCCCATCTCACACGGTGCCCTGGCACGGGTATTGGCAGGAGATGGAGGGTGGCTCTTATCCAAGACATTTTCCCATCTGATCATATCCCATCCGCGGTAGCCAGGCTCCAAGATGGCCCCCATGGTCTCTGCCTCCTGGTGTTCACACCCTTGTGTAGTCCCCTCCCGTATTTACCAGAGTTGGTCTCTGTTGAGTGAGGTAAGGCAGAGTGATGGTATGTCACTTTCAAAAGTAGGTTATAAAAGACACTGCACCTTCTGTGCTGGGTGCCCCTCTTGCTTTCTTGGGTCATTCCCTCTGGGGGATGCCAGCTGCCATGTCATAAATAGTCCTGTGTAGGAGAGGCCTGCATGGCAATGAACTAAAGCCTCCTGCCATGATGACATGAGTGAGCTTAGAAATGGAAGCTTCAACCTCAGTCAAGCCTTCAGATGAGTGCAGCCCTAGCTGACAGCTTGCCTGCGACTCCGAGAGGCTCTGAGCCAGAACCACCTGGCAAAAATTGCTCCCAGATTCCCAACCCACAGGGATATGTGAGATCAATGTTTGTTGTTTTAGCCGCTGGGTTTGGGGTTTATTTGTTACACAGCAGCCATTTGGAAGCTAGAGTTGAGGCACACAGAAGCTAAACAGTTTGCCAACAAACAGTCAGCTAGCTTGATCAGACTGATTTAAAAGAAAAAAACCCCTCTGATCTGGTCCCTTCCCAGGGTAGGTGTCTCACGCTAAGGAGACAGACATTTGCTTTATTCCCGTGGTCGATGTTACTTAGTTTCGTTAGTTGGGGCCTGCACTTTGTTGGAAACTAAATGCGATTGTGTATGTGTCTACACAAGATCAAATCTGGGCTCTAAAAAGTGAGGTTTTGGCCGGGCACAGTGGCTCATGCCTGTAATCCCAACACTTTGGGAGGCTGAGGCAAGTGGATCATTTGAGATCAGGCGTTCGAGACCAGTCTGGCCAACATCGTGAAACCCTGTCTCTACTAAAAATACAAAAAATTAGCCGTGCGTGGTAGCGGGCGCCTGTAGTCCCAGCTACTTGGGAGGCTGGGGCAGGAGAATTGATTGAACCCAGCAGGCAGAGGCTGCAGTGACCTGAGATCACACCACTGCACTCCAGCCTGGGCGACAGAGTGAGACTCCCTCTCAAAAACAGTGAGGTTTAATATGAAGCAAAAGGAGCTCGGAGCCCAGAGTTCACTCCATAGAGAAAATTAACACAGCAGTGAGTGCCCCTTGTTGTCTCCTGGAGGAGGCATGCTTCAGCTGGCATCTGCTCATCAAAACGTCAGTCCCCTGTACCATGCAAGAGTTTAGTCTCCATTCTGGGAGCCATGTGCTTCACTAATACCCAGGGTCTCTTCTGCTGTGAAAGAAAGAGGATAGATACTGGGAGAGAACTAGCCGTCCTCGTCACAACGTGTGAAGTGTGTGAAATAGTACCAGGCACGTAACCAGTGCATGTGAGTGCTACTGCTGCTGTTATAAGCAAATAAACAGTGTTTTCTGGAACTCCTGTAATGACATCAAATGCTAGGACCTTTTGACCTATCCATGCTGAGGATGCCCCCTAGGCTGCGTGTTTTACAGGTGGAAACTAGGAGGCGGTTCTAAAGATTCCTCAGGGAGTTTGCTGAGCTAAAGCCCAAGTGTTGGTTTAGGGGAGTAGAGGTGGAGGTGGGTGGTGGGAAGTGGGAGTGTTTAGCCCTACCTCAGATCCTGGGGTGCTTGTCATGACCTCCTCTGTTACATCCACAAAATATTTAAAAGATTGAAATTCAGGCTTCAGCTGAATTTCAGGGTGTAGTGGCTCACACTTGTAATCCCAGCACTTCGGGAGATTAAGGTGGGAGGATCACTTGAGGCCAGGAGTTTGAGACCAGCCTGGGCAATATAGCAAGATGTCGTCTCTCAAAAAAAAACATTTAATTAGCTGGGTGTGGTGGTGTGCACCTGTTATCCCAACTACTTAGGAGGCTGAGACAAGAGAATTGCTTGAGCCCAGGAATTCAAGGCTGCAGTGAGCTATGGATCGCACCACTGCACTCCAGCCTGGGCAACAGAGCAAGACCCTGTCTCAAAAAAACAACAAAAAAATTGAAATTCAGAAAGACTAACTCTCTGGGCTTATCCCCCTCCTCAGGTTCTCAGAGACGGAGGCTTATCCCAGCACTATCCCTGGACACCTCTTCCCCTGTGAGAAAACCCCCCAACAGCACAGGCGTCCGCTGGGTGGATGGCCCCTTGCGGAGCAGCCCGAGGGGCCTTGGGGAACCCTTTGAGATTAAAGTCTATGAAATCGATGACGTGGAGCGCCTGCAGCGGCGACGAGGGGGTGCCAGCAAGGTGAGGCAGCCTCCTTCCCACCCCCTGCCTACGTGGTGGCAGCTCCCCACCAAGCCTGAGCAGGTGCTAGGCAGGGCCCTGGGGAAGAAAACTCAGACCCGGGCTTCCCAGCGGGCTTCTGGCATGGGTGGTGGGAAGGGGGCTTCTGTCCCAGCAAAGGGCCTTTGGACAGAGGCCTTGGAGAGAGCCCCATGTTTCTCTTCCTGAAATGTTTTAAGGGCTTCAAAGCCAGGGGTCGGGGGCTGGTGATCTTGGGGGCTTTTCTGGCTCCTTGAGGCTCCCAGTCTTAACCAACCTTTGTCCAACTTGAACACCCACCACCTGCTTTCTCAACTTAAGAATGGCCTGTCATAGTCCAAAAATGGTCTGTCATAGTCCAAGAATGGTCTGTCATAGTCCTACCTTGTGAGGTGTCTGAATTGAGGTCTGTCAAGGGAGAATTTGGTGGGGATGACCCATGTCCCTCCCACACGTCTCCAAGCCCAGCCTGTTTTCCATCAACGATACTCACAGGTGCTCCTGTGGTGTGGGCTGGGTGTGAGCAGAAGGGCCCTTTCTCCTCTCTGTCTGTGTGCTAGGAGGCCATGTGCTTCAATGCAAAGCTGAAGATTCTGGAACACCGCCAGCAGAGGATCGCCGAGGTCCGCGCGAAGTACGAGTGGCTGATGAAGGAGCTGGAGGCGACCAAACAGTATCTGATGCTGGATCCCAACAAGTGGCTCAGTGAATGTAAGGCCGGGGTGCCTTCCCACCCTTGTGACTAGTGGGTTCACCTGCTCAACCGGGCTGGCGTGTAGCCCAGGGTGACAGTGACACAGGCTGTGTCCTCGTCCTCAGTCACAGGATGCCCATCAAATGGAGGAAGTTGCACCGAGCGAGCAGCCCTACTCCCCTGGGGATGGGCGGGAGGGGCCGGGACAGCAGAGGGGTGGTGAATATTGCTCTTGCAAGATTATTTCTACGTGTCTCAGTCCAAAGCACCTGAAAATGAGATTTTTCCCCCTGCGTGTGGCAGAAGATCACCCAGACATGAAGGCTGTATTACAAATCTCCTAGGCCACAAAATCACACTGCATATCTAGCCTGAAATAGACAAGAATTTATAGAGCCCTTAAAAAGGTAGAGTGTACAGTCCTCGAAAAGCCACGCAGAGAACCCAGAAAGCAAGGAAAACATTTTTGAGTGGAAAAAAAAAAAAAAAGACAGCCACAGTGTTATTTCCATTTAATAGAAAGCCCAGGATGACCATAACCATCTAATAACAATTCAGGACAATTTTGCTCTCTTTGAAAGGTGGATTCAATTGTCTTGTCTTATTAGTTCCTGACCATTCCATTTAGCACAAAATAAAACTTCAGTCTGGTCCCAGCTATTACACGGATATAGGAGCTAATGCTGGAAGACTCAGTCTGTGGGGTGAAATACATTCCTGCCATTCAAGTTCCCTCTGCCTCCCCTTCCCATCCAGCCCTCAGCCTCCGGCAGGCCTCCTTTGTACAGCCCCTCCCCTGCACTGCCCCAACCCTCTTCCAGTCTTCCCCAGCCAGTGTGGAGGGCCTACAGGTGGAGGCTGGAAGCTTAGGTTTATGTTCCAAAGCAGCTGGTTGAAAAGATATTGGTGTGAAATGGTCCTGGGTGAAGGTGCGGAAGAAAGTGGCAGGACTTGTCAGCCTCCCAGCTGTGCCTTCCACATGTAACTGCAGTCTCGCAGCAGCTGCCTCTCCACAGGGATAAGGTGATAACAACATTTCCCTAAGTACTCATTGGATTCTTGGGACAGTCTGTGGAGCATTCTATAATATAATATTAAGTTGCAGCATTTGCCGCTGTGGCCACAGGCATACAGACCTGCTTTGGCTGCTGGCTTTCTCACATACTAGCTGTGGGACCTCAGGTAAGACACTTAACTCTGAGCCTTGACTTCCTTAGCTGTAAAATGGGAAAAATAATGGTGACTACACCATAGGGCAGTTGTGAGGTATAAATCAGTTCCCGTTGGTCCTCTTGGTGCTTACTACACTGCTTGGCCCAGGATGAGAGCTCAGGATCTGGTAGTAATTATTACTATTATCCCAAAGTTCAACAACAGGAGACATTTCCTGGCCAGGCACGGTGGCTCACGCCTGTAATCCCAGCACCTTGGGAGGCCAAGGTGGGCAGATCACTTGAGCCCAGGAGTTCAAGACCAGCCTTGACAACATGGTGTGAAACCCTGTCTGTCTCTACCAAAAATACAAAAATTAGCCGGGCGTGGTGGCGGGCACCTGTAATCTCAGCTACTCAGGAGGCTGAGGTTGCAGTGAGCCAGAGATTGCGCCAGACCCTGTCTCAAAAATAAAAATAAAAAACAGGAGGCATTTCCTTCGTGTCTGCTTGCATGATGCACTGAGGAGTTGGATCTTCTGTTAGAAATTTGAGCAAAGAAAGACATGAACTAGTCCTGCGAGGGCCTTTCATCGAAGGCGCTAATGGGGAGGGCAGACAGGGGCGAGGGCGCTGGTTACTGTCTGCGCGTGACATGCGCACGGGGCGCTGTGCTTATCCCTCCCCGCTGCGGATACCCTTTTCCTTGTTTCAGGAATCCCTGGCCACTTCAAGATCCCAGGGGCCTCCTTTCAGTCAGTCAGTTCTCTCTCCTTCATTTTTGCTATTTTCATTAACATTTTATTTTCAAGAACTGTTTATGCCCAAGGCAGACTTGACTTGAAAATTATCTTCATCTTACAAAGTCAGTCATATTTTTCCCAGGATGGGAACAAGCTGAAACATCAATACATATGTGTTTAGATGCTTCCAGGAAACAATTGCTTCCTTCTAGTCTTTGTACATGTCAAAAATCACTGTGTTTTTGATGCTGAGAAAGAAAATGAACAGAAAGCTACATGAAAGGGGAAATATATATTGTTTCTTGAAGATGAATTGAAAACAGTAATGAAAAAAAGGATCAATGAGCTGCCTGCTGACTATTCCCTGTGGGCATGAGGCAGGGGACTGGCATGGAAAGATCCATTTTTAGTTCTATTATTTCTTCATTCTGATGCCACTTTTAAGGTTGTCCAGTAATGTAGTCTGATGTGGTCATAGAATGATGTCTCCTTTTGCTTTTTTGTTTTGGTTTTTAAATATTAAACTGGTATTCAGGGCCTTCGGTCTCCTTCCAGCTCTAGTCCTGGTTAACTGTGTCAGCCTCAGTGAGTCACGTCACTGTCCAGCTCTCAGGGACCTCATCTGCAGAAAGAAGACACTCTGCAGACAGCGGCCACTCTAAGCCCCAGTGTTTCCATAGCACGGCATCGTTTTCAAATCAAGTTCGTGTTCATTATTATCTCATTTTATTCTTCACAGCAACTCAAGGCAGGCAGGGCAGGCAGCGTAGGAGTTACTATTCTCACATGCCTTTAAAGACACTGTCAGCAGAGGTGGAGGTCCCAGAGCTCGTCTCTTCAGAGCTTGTCTCGTGCCTGGGGTTCCAGGGCCATCCCACCACCTTGGACTGCTGTCCACGCCTCTCCTCCTCGTACTGGGAGCCTGCTGGACCCCTGGACCTGGGCCAGGCAGCCCATCCCTCTGCCCGGCCACCTCTGGACAAAGCAGGGGACTTGATGCCAGAGGGGTTGATCCCAGATACCTGCTCTTCAGGCCTGGAATGATACAGACTTTTTACTCTGTGCAGGCCTGAACATCAGGAAAGGCATCTGGGTTATAATCCAGAAACGTCCTTTCATATAAGGAAGCAGAGGTATAAATGTCACTCAACTGAGACCCCCAAAAGGGAGGGACTCTCCCCACCTCAACTTGAATTATTTACTTGATTGATTGATAGTGAATAGTGTGGTAGCGTCTCTCAAATCCTGGGATCCATCCTGGATCCTCCATGGCTGGAGGTAGGGGGAGCTAGAATGTCACCTTATTGGTCAGTAGAATCTCAGAAAAAACCTTAAGGATCTAAATACTGGTAAAGAGTGTTCCTTTCAACCCAAAAGAGGCCGAGAATCAGGCAGGAGGGAACTCTGCAGTGGCCTAAGGCAAGCGAACTAGACCTTTAGACCAAGGGGTAGATGTGGGGGTGGCAGCTCCAGGCTGAGCCGTCGGGAGTTGCTTCTCACCCTGTTTGCTCTGCGTCTCCATCAGGCTCTTCCTCTCTTGCAGTTGACTTGGAGCAGGTTTGGGAGCTGGATTCCCTGGAGTACCTGGAGGCACTGGAGTGTGTGACGGAGCGCCTGGAGAGCCGTGTCAACTTCTGCAAGGCCCATCTCATGATGATCACCTGCTTCGACATCACCTCCAGGCGCCGGTAGATGAGCCAGACCCTTGTCCTAGTGGTCCCCCGCTCCCCAGGACTTCAGAGATGTTGCACGCCCCTAGGCCCTCTGTGCTGGGGCATCAAAGACAATGAATGAGGATGAAGGTTGGTGGCAAGTCTGGAGCGGGCGTTGAGCGGAAGGCGAGTTTTCTTTTGTTTTCTGTAGGAAAGGTGCAAACGTCAAACACCGTGGAAGGAGAAAAGGATGGGAAGCCCGAGGGGTGTCCAAGCCCTGTGAGACTGAAAAAGCACTTTGAGGAACCTTAAAGACCTTGTTTGTACATAAGAACTGCTAGCAAAAGAGACCTCACTCTTCTCTTGCTTTCGTGAGAAAGGAGGGGCGTGGATGTAGGATTGCTGTGGAAAGCGAACACAAAACAACCCAGAATGACTGATTAAGTGCCTTGCAAATCTTTATTATTATCCAAACATTTATGTTCATACTTTCTTGTGTACAGATGGTGCTAGTCAAGATGAAAACAACAAAACAAACAAGAAAAACATTTTGGAAATGTATTCACAGCTCTTTTTCTCTTGGTGTTTTATCCTATTTCTGACTTGCTGTTTCTAAGTAAGTTGTGTTTGTAGAGCTATTTCTTAATCAGTATTGCTTATGAATAAATATTACCTGTCTTTTATGGTTATTCTGGTGAGGCCACTCAAACAGAGAGACTTCCCTCGGCACGAGCCAGTGTGTGTGTTTCCAAAGTAGGTTTGGAGCAGCAGGTGACCTCGATGCCACATCCCAACAAGCAGCGTGGTCAGGTAGACCCAGAAGGTTGATTGTGGGGCAGGTGCTTTAGAGAACAGGTGAGGAGACGGCACCTGCAGCACAGGGGAGGAGGAGTCCTTTGCGACCTGGGCCCTCCCTGCTCCTGGGAGGTGGGCCGTATGTTCTGTAGACCGTTTGCCCCCCTCAAGTCCTCCACACATGTGGTTCCTTGACCCACAAATCCACAGTTTGCGTGGCCCTCAAAATTCATATTCATTTTTATTCCAAAAAGTCTTGAACGAAAGCTGGAACCAATTCACCAGAGCCATATTTCTTTCTTTAGTATTTTCTAGTGTTGTGTTGTAGATTGATTAAAGTGGGTTTTTCCCCAGCTGAGAGACCTTCTCAGGCTTGTTCAGAGACTTCAACTGTATTGGATTAGAAGAAGGATTCTTGAGACTGTACATCTTGTCTGTTGTCCAGAGTACAAGGATTTCAGCTCTCCTGTGTCCCAAAGCCTCTATGCCAAGAAGGGACAGGCTTGTCCTCTCAGTCTTTGCTCCTGCCCAAAGGCAGAGAGAGCTTCCCCTCCATAACTCACACGACCCTGGATAGGCAGAACATAGCTGAAGACTATGGATGTCCAGGTCTTGGCTCCCAACAACTCAGGACCTCAAATTCAGATGTTCCTCCCTATAACAATTCCCTTAGGAATTATGATACCCATTTTAGTGATTGATAGAAACCTGGGGTACAGAGTGGTCAAGGGATTTCCCTGATAAAAGCTGTGGTGCTGATGATAGTGCAGCCCAGAATCTAAGAGTCCCTGCAGCCTTCGCATCGAGGATGGTACTTAGGCGTGTGCAGAGCACGCTTCCCTTTTGCCCTCAAATGCAGCATATCTTCATGAGCCTATTTATTTCCAAGCTAGGCTGTCTTTATTAACCAACAACTCAGCCCCAGCCACTCCCCAAGCGGGGAAAAAAACACTACGTTTCTTGGTCAGTGTACCTCTGGACACTGCAGCCCACACAGCTGGCTGAACTCGGTAAATGGGAACCGAAGTCTTGTGAGCTTCACATGACCTGATCCTTTGTTATCAGAACAGGGTTCAGGTGGCCCTGTTGGCTCATGTGCTTTGGAAGCCAGCTCCCTGGGTCACGAGTCTGGCTTTGCACTTTCCATAAGAGTCTGCTTCTATGCAAAGGTGCAAACAGGAGACATGCCCAAATCTGCTGGCTGAACAGGCTAAACTACAGTGAGAGGCTGCTCTGGCATGGCTCGTTCTTCCTTCTGTGTATCTCCCAAGTCTGACAAGTGTGTTGCCCTGGGAAGCAGGACCTCCCTGAGCTCCTTAACCTTGACCCCATTCTGCAGGACAGTCGCATGCTCTGGGCTCGCCTCTGGCCTCAAAGCACTTGTGTAAGTGGGCTTGCTTAACAGTAATATCCTTGGAGGCTTCTGGACCCAAAGGGAAGCCAATCCTTCGAGTTTGCCATTGGGCTGCTGGTTGCTGGTTTCAAACATATAGTTCATGAAAAGTCTTTAATTGGAGATTTTCAAAGGTGAATATTCTGTTTTTGTTGGAAAGAAACTCATCTGATGAGTCATCGATGAGTTTGGCTTTCGCCCCTGCCACATCCTCCCCTGAGGTTCCTTCCATGCTGCACTGCCTTCCTTTAGCCAGTGACAGAGCCTGGTGCCCTTCCTGGACTGAAACCGATGGAATCCTTCCGAGGGGAGTGGCATTCGGCTTGCCTCCTGCCTAAATCTGCTTTTATCCATTTGTAGCAACTTTATGCTGTAACAAAAGGCGGAAGGAAACCAAGAGTTCTCTTAGCAAGTCAGACTCCTTCCCAAGATGGCAATCACAGAACACCTCGCAGGATCTCGCAGGCCACGGTGAAGGAGAATGCTTTATGTTGATGTTGTCCATTCTCTCTCTCTTCTCTTTGCTTTTTTTTGACCTAAATAAGCTGCAAACATGTTAATTTACCAATATTGATAAACCACATGAAGAAATCAGGCATTTTACGTTATGATGTGCTTGTTCCTGTCTCTGCCTATAAATTGACTGTATTGATGATGAAGGAAGGAGTTCCGGCTGACCATTCTGAAGCAGTCCCAGTCACGGGAGGATGCCTTACCCAGTGGCCAGACATGATAGTTCCAGGTCTCCCCTTGGTTTTGGTGATAGAGAACCCAAGGAGGCAAGGGGGAATATCAACGAACCCATTTCTATTTCATTACCCACAAGCGAAAGGACTAGAAAAAAATATTTGAAATTAACATTTAGATGCATAGGTCTAACTCCTTGTGTGAACCTGTCCTCCTCACCCCCTGCTCCAAATATGTGAGGTGGAAGCATTAGCAGCGGAGCAAAACTAAGATCTAAGAACGGGCGGTGGTGCTATTGTGTCCCTGGGAGTCACTCCACGTCGCATTGCACGGTGGTGCTGAGGAGCGAGAGTTTGCTTTATCATGGGCTTTCAGTTCCCACCTGCGAGCTGCAAACTTTGATCTTGTTGTCCTTGAATTCCCCTCTACATCACGAGGAAGCTGTCTCTTTCATCTCTTCCGGATTTGGAATCAGAACACTCTGCCCGTTGTTTATTCGCCAGTTGCCATTCTTAACATGGGGGAGCATTAAGATGCAAATGCAGAGATGTGTCCTGTCTTGACAAAGGTGGGAACCCCTGAGCTGGAGAAGGGGCTCCTCTCATGAGAAGCTGGGGTAAACAGCCAGGCATCGCAGCGTGGGGAATTAGACAGGCAGGAATCTGGCCTGGTTTGTCATAAATTAGCCTTCAACTTGAAGTCTATTATGTTCTTATAAGGCGGTAGTGACTTCAGTCCAGCCGCATCTACCATCCAGGGTGGAGGTTCAAAAAGTCTTATACGCACCTACAAGTCTCACGCTTGCTGCTCAGACTTTCTGATAAAATCTCAGAGTTCTGTTTGTATTGACCAAAAATGCAGTTGTGCCCACTTGGGTGTGTATCTCATGTCCTTGTAAA
Source organism: Homo sapiens (assembly GCF_000001405.40). NCBI lineage: Eukaryota > Metazoa > Chordata > Mammalia > Primates > Hominidae > Homo > Homo sapiens. The sequence continues at coordinate 245,706,341 of NC_000001.11, forward strand.
CCAGCCACCTTCTTTGGATAGAAGGCAAGGCTGACAAATCTGCAGATTTGTTCAATGCAAACACAGCCGTCTATATCATTGGCCACTGCTGATTATATTGAGTGTTTTTAGGTTTTTTAGGTTTCTTATTCCAAAAAGGATTTTAGACTGTAAAATGACTAAAGATGAGTTAATTTCCAAACTAAAAAAGGAAGGAGTCCTGCCTGTACTCATTGTTCTTTCCTGCTGGACTAGTAACCCATTCTTGGAGCACACACAGAGTCCCTCGCTTCTAAAGACAATACGTCTTAAACCCTGAAAACTTGCCAGTGAGAAAGAGGTTGAAAGTCCTGTTTGCTATTAGTTGAGGCTAAGCCGTCTGCTGCCACTGTCCCTGGGGCCTCCATGCTGCCGCCGGGGTATGTGGCCCAGCTGTCCCCCCATGAAGGACACTCTTCAATGCCACCACACGGGAGTCTGGGCAGGGAGGAAAGGCACACAGCCCACTTTTCTCTGCACCAAATGAAACAAAGCTGGGTGTTCAGTGTCACTGATGCAAGTAAATGGGTCTCAAATTTTGGTGGGGGCAGTGTTTCTTTGGATTCTGATACCTCTTTTTCCACCTCCAGAAAGTATCTGTCAACATTGGTGGGTAACAGCTTATAAAGTGCATCACTTAGTAATCTTCCTGACAAAATGACACATTTTAAAATTACAACCTGTTCATTATTTCCATCATAATGCAAGCGTAATTCTAATCCGGGAGAAGATACTGTCATTTAAGCTCATCTTCTCAAAAAAATTTTTTCTGAAAATTCCTGGAAACTAATTTATCCCTCCCTAAACAAACACATTCTGCTTTTGGGTGGCCCTACCCAGAACCTGCAGCAATGTCATAACACTGGACACAGTGCGGCTTGGGGCAGTATCAAGCCTTCATTGCATACAAACCTTAATCTCTAAGCATAGTTGTTCCCAAGGTCCACACGTGTGGAGGCGAGTACTGAAATACCACACTCACACATCTATTCCATGCGTACCTAGAAATTACCTTCAACACTAAAAAAGGTTCCTTCTTTCATTCCCTATCCTGCTAACAGCCCACATTGTAATATTTGATTTATGAAGAAGTTCTAATTTATTTGTGAACTCAGGATGTTGCTTTACAGCATTGCTCGTGTTCTCTCATTTACTTATTATGCATCACGGTTGGAAATGCTATCCACGTGCCGTGCATCGAGGTGGAGATTTGCTGGATCTGTCTGTGGCTATTTTTTTCCATGTTTTTCTCACTCAAGCAAAGTCTGTTAGTGGAAACATGGGCTGGGGGATGGGGAGAGGACAGATAAAGCAAGAGAATAGGGATTAGGGTCCAATCCTCAATGCACAGGGCTTAGTTCAAAATCTAAGCTGTTTCTGTAGTAAGCAGCCAAATGGGAAAGATCCCTTCGTTTTGAATTTGATGAGAATGGGCTTGGAAATCCACGCCCACCGGCTTGCACGGAAGAGGACTCAGCCTCTTCCTAATGGTTCAACATTCAATTCCTGAGGAAAGTGCTGATAGTATTAGTTCCCTACATTTCCCTAAGACTCCCATCCAACCCCTAGTGCTACTGAAGAGGGTTTGGGAAAGCAATTGGAGTTCCTTAGCTTGGATATATATAGTACCTGTTTTTTTCCTCTGGAAAAACCAAAGTACTTTAGTGAGTCTTACAATCTTAAGGCATTTTGTCCCCTCACTGGGTCCCGAGAGGCAGGGAGGGGCTAGGCCTTGAGCTAGGAGCAAGGACATGGGCCGCCAGGCCTGGTTGTTACTAGCTGTGCAACCTTGGGCGAGCCTCTTCGCTTTGCTGGGCCTCAGGTTCCCGAGTGGAAGACTGGGGGTCAGAACAGCTGCCCTTCTGGGAGAGCATCAAGAGAAAGTGGTATAAGTGATGGGAAGTGCTTTGAAGAAATTAAAGGTCTGTCTAGGAGCTGGGGGTAATCATTTACAGATGAAGAAACTGAAGTCTAGTCATTGACTGGCCCGAGTTCACAGAGTGGTTTTATAGCAAAACAGGGACTTGAGTCCAGCTTATTGGATTCTTCCCATCAGATCATATTGCACCAGGTATGTGTAGACATGAACACATACCATTCCTCTAAGGTGTGTGTACATACACGGATGTGTGTGTACAGGAGGTACCTGACATGGTGAAAGGCCATAGGACAGAAAACCTGAGTTCTAATTCCAGCTTTGCCAGTCGTCCCGTCCGTGATATATTCCATAGGACAGAAAACCTGAGTTCTAATTCCAGCTTTGCCAGTCATCCTGTCCGTGATATATTCCATAGGACAGAAAACCTGAGTTCTAATTCCAGCTTTGCCAGTCGTCCCGTCCGTGATATATTACCTAACTCCTCCAGAACTCAGTTTTCTAACCTATAAAATGAAGACATTGTGCTAGATGATCTTTGTGGTTCCTTCAAGCTCTGGATCTCTAATTCCATGATTAGTAATGTATGTATGTGTATATAAATATGCTTATCTGTAGAAATGGGCCCATTTGAAAAGTGGAGACAAGGTCTGCCCAGGTGCATTTATTGTGCCAGAAACAGTGAATTCCTAAATAAGTTCATAAAATCTTGTTTTACAATTCAATGGTAGTGCTTAATGTTACTGTCTGAAATCCACTGTTTAACCAGATGGAAGACTGGGGCCATTCAAAACATTATTAGTTCACAAGTGTTTGCTGTTAAAATGCTTCAATAAAACTCATTTGTTAAAGTCAGAAATTCAACTCTTCTGTACTTGGGCAGGTCCCAGCAGCCCCTTGGCAGGCTAGTTTTGTGCATGGGCCTTTGCAAGCTATATAAACGTTAGGTGTTGGCTTGATTATGATAAATATGAGCAGGCTCCCTGGAGAACAGTCCAGAAAAAAAGAGTTATAGTTCTCACAAACTGGTGACATGAATCCATTAAGCTGTGTGGCATTTTCCAGTGTAAAGACATTGTTTGCTGGCTACGATCTCTGACTTTTTGTGGCATATGAGGTGTAAAATGTTGTCAAAAAAGAATCTGGTGTTTAAAAAAAAATCAAACTATGGTGGCATTAAATGTTCACTTTTATTCTACCCAGAGTTGTGAATTCCTCTATCCAGCTTCTCCTTCTGTACCTCGGGGGAAAGCAATTCAAGAGCTAGGGGTGGGTGCTTCTCACGGCAGCAACACCTTGGCCCAAGTCTAGCCCCCAGGCCTCTCAGGACCTCATGGGATGAGGCCTGTCTAGTCGCCCTGTGGAGCTGGCCCCCAACAAGTTCAGCAGCTCAGCCAGGAGTGAGTAGAGGTGTCAGCTAAGTCCCAGAGTCCCTGGACTTGTTCTGCACACCTGAGAGCCAGACGCTGGGGAAAGTGTGGAGAAGCTTGTGTTGATAATGGGATATTTTCTGTTGCCCTCCCTCAGTCCAGTGTTTCTGGGGCTTACACAAAATAAGGGAATTTGCAGTCACTGTAGATTGCTCGGGCCTGGATGCATGGGCCTCTGTTACACTGGTGCTTGGTCTCAGTTATAACTGGGCACATTCAGGCAAGAAGGCAAAAACAGATCAGAACTAGAAAAAGGTCTCTCAGGGTAGCCCCTTCCCTTGAGGACAGTCTCCCTCCACTGCAGACATTTCCCTCTGAACAGTAATGAGGGACTTTCCTAGATGCTGGTGCCACATTCATCCAATCAACTGAGTGCTCCACACCCCCAGGAGATAGGGCAGGATGGCCACTCAAAGCAAATACATACTCTTCACTCCTGGCAAGATCCCTCTCTGAGTCCCTGTCTCCTACTGCACCACGCTTGCCTGGACATGCACACCTCCAAGGCTCCCTGCTTTTCTTCTCCCCAAATCCTAGCCAAGACCTTCTTGGGCTCCCTTTGGGTAAACCGAGCAGAAGCCGTAAGGGTTTTCTAAACATAATGCCTTCAACTAGAAGAGAAGGTAGAGGTGGTGCCAAACTGATCATTCCCTTGGGGAGGAGACGATGGAAAGGCAGCCTCTATTATAGAATTGTTTCTAATGCCCTCACTCCTCCCAATTAAAGACCTTCTCAGTGCTCTGCTGGCCTGTCGTAGCCTATAATACATCTTGTCCCAATTCACATCAGCACCTCTCGTCTCTGGGAAGGATATGTATTGTGTGGTCATCAGAAGTAACTTTTCATTAGGAAAAAAACTATCCAAATATACAATCTTAGGTGGATCTGTCCCTCAAACCATTAAACTATCCAAACTGTTCTTACTTTTATTCTTTCCATCCTTTTTGATCCTGTCTCTTTGTCTCAGGGAGGACAGTGGCCATTCTGCCTACCTTGGCACCATGCTGCATTTGGCCAGACGCCCCTGGGACTAGAAGGTCATAGAAAAGAAAGCAAGGTGATGTCATTGTCCAGCAATGGCAGATCAGGCTATGGCTGCACCTGGATGGAGAAAATGCCTCCGCATCTATGCAGGACCTGTTGCAGTGTCTGATGCTTCCACTTGTTTTTCTAGCTGAAGGTGTTGTTTCTAGAAAACCCTTATAAATCTACAGAGCACTTGGAGTGTAAATGCATTGACCTGCCAGTGGCTGCAGTGCTCCTAACACCCATGGATATCTCTTGTTCTATAACTCCAGTGGCTAGAACAGAACATGGAACATAGTGGGTGCTCAACCAATATTAGCTGAATGAATGAATCAATCAATTATTCAACTTTGGGGGAAGAGGCAACAACAAAAACCTGGGCAGGGGCCTGCAGCATTTCAGAGTCCCGTGACAAGTGGACCAAAGGTCTGCATTTGCAAACCCCTACTGGGATTAATCCCTAATTCCCAGTGGAGAAGGAGCACCAGGCCCACACAAGGCCAGACCCACGCCCTGGGCTTCTTACGCACACAGCCTTGACCTCCACAGCCACGGAGCAGCCTTGGCTTTCAGGCCTCCTAAAGCATGTTTCTAAGAGATGAAAAAGAGTCGTGTTCAAGCTCGTGGATTCCGTCTCAACATGTATAAAACAATCGTCGAGCAAACCCTCACTGAGCAGCACTCGCACTGTCCCAGACACCGTGCTGGTTGCAGTGAATGAAACAGGTTCCAGGCTCCCAGAACTCAGTGAGGTTGGCGAGCCGGGCCGGCACACAGAAACGCTGCTACAAACACGCAAACGTGCTCCCCTCCATGCAGGGCAAACCCTCCTCAGGGGCCCCTTTTCCTAGAATTTGGGCCCTTGTCCAGGCCTCACCTCCAGAAGAGTCTCCTTAAGCAGGAGGCTGAGAGGGCAGCGAGGCGGGGAGGGAAGGGGGACAGCCAGTGTCACTGCAAGTCGCTTTATTTCTCCTGCGGAAGTCCAGCCCTCCCTCACTCCCCTACTCCCCGGCACTTCCAGCTTCCTCCCCGCAGCGGGTTAACACGTGCATTTGCCAAGAGCTCAGGAAGGGCGCGCTGTGAGCATCCAGCCAGCTGAGGAGGAGGGGACTGTCCCCTGGGCAGCCACCCCGCTGCCACCTGAGGAAGCTACTTTGGGGTCCACCTGCATGCACGGTAAGCAGCACGTCCTTTCTTTTTCATTTTAAAATTGTTACATTGCCCCGCTCAGCCCATCCTCTGTGCTCTCCCCTCTCCAGCAGGTTCTGGGGTGCTGATACATATTACACACCTTTTGTGTGCTCAGAAGAAAAACTCAAAAAAAAGAGCTTTATAGACCACAAAGATCTACAAACCCCCAAAGTCCCTGATGGCCCAGTGAGAGAAAGGCCGCTGCTTTTTAAAACTGCACTTTGAAAATATGGAAATTGAAAATAAAAAATTACCTTCATCTCACCCCAGAGAGAACCACTGTTATTTAATAGATACACACACACACACACACACACACACACACACACACACACACACACAGAGGCACGTGCGCTATTACAAATTTTGGATTATCCTGGATATGGTCCTTTTGGAACCCTTTTCCCCTTTAATAATCCTACCATGTATATTTGTTTCCCCAATTGGCACATGTGCTCTGACAACATGGCTTTTAACATTGCAGAATATTCCATCACATAGATCGACCGACTCTCATTTATGCACGGCTACTATTCCCTGCTCTTGGACCATAAGATTGCTTCCACTTTTTCACAATTATCAGTTACACTGTTGAACATAAATCAACACATATTGAATATAAATCTTTTTTGTTAACCTGACAAGTCCGTAGGGATAAATTCCTGGAAGTAAAATAGCTATAACAAGAGGAATAAAAGATTACAAGGCATGTTACACACATTGAGGGTGGCTGTGCTTTAAACCGTCCAACCTCAATGATGATTAGAAGCCTTCCCTGATAGCCCCAGATGGAGTCATCTCTTCCTCTCTTAACTTTTATTTCATTGATTCACTTATTTATTCATTCTACAAATATACATTAAAAAACTCTGGCCAGGCACGGTAGCTCACGCCTGTAATCCCAGCACTTTGAGAGGCCGAGGCGGGGGGATCACTTGAGGTCAGGAGTTCTAGACCAGCCTGGCCAACGTGGTGAAACCCCCTCTCTACAAAAAATACAAAAATTAGCTAGGCATGATGGCGCGTGCCGGTAATCCCAGCTACTTGGGAGGCTGAGGCACAAAAATTGCTTGAACCCGGGAGGTGGATATTGCAGTGAGCCGAGATTGCACCACTGCACTACACCCTGGGCAAAGAGCAAGACTAAGTCTCAAACAAACAAACAAACAAACAAAAAAAAAAAACTCCAACATGGGACAGTGTTCCTGTTGTAAGATGTGCCAAGTTCTTAGTATACACTTCATCATATTTTAAAGTAGGACGTGTTTATCTGTCCTTAAATATTAGGCATCAGGCTCACGCCTGTAATCCCGGCACTTTGGGAGGCCGAGGTGGGCAGATCACAAGGTCAGGAGATTGAGACCATCCTGGCTAACACAGTGAAACCCCGTCTCTACTAAAAATACAAAAACTTAGCTGGGTGTGGTGGCGGGTGCCTGTAGTCCCAGCTACTTGGAGGCTGAGGGAGGAGAATGGCGTGAACCCAGGAGGCGGAGCTTGCAGTGAGCCGAGATCGCACCACTGCACTCCAGCCTGGGCGACAGAGCAAGACTCTATCTCAAAAAATAAAAAATAAAAAATAAATTTAAAAAAATAGGCATCAGGAGGGTAGGAGCTCTTTTTATGGCTCCCTGTGTTTAACACAATGCTGGGCACAAAATCAGGTTAAGATTCAGAGGGTTTCGACAGCCAAAGCTATTGAAGGGAATGGCATTTTATACACAGTATAGATATCCATACACTGGAAACACTTTTCTGGGGATTCTGACATCCATCTCAGCCCTTGCTGAGAACTCTTAGCTGAGGGGCCATGAAGCCTGGGTGCTCGTGTGAAACTGCAACTTGCAGTTGACTTTGAGGGAGTCTCAGTGCGTCTCCAGGCTCCATCTCCTCATCTGTGTAAGAGAAGTGAAGCCCAATCTGTCCTGCCTAGTTTCCCCTGGGTTTGTTCTGAGGATGAAAGAAGATGCTGTGTGTAGAACCAGGTCATAATCTGGTAAGTGCTCAACAGACGTAAGGTCCTGGGATAACATACACTTGTTTTGATAATTACAACAAGATTCCTCAGGCAGCCTTTACTTCTTTCCTAGACTGTGCCCGCTACACAGTTTCTTCATTCAGCACCTGCCTCATTCTCTCATGTTGTTTTTTGGAGACAGGGTCTTGCTCTGTTGCCCAGACTAGAGTGCAGTGGCACAATCATAGCTCACTGCAGTCTCAAACTCCTGGGCTCCAGCGATCCTCCTGCCTCAGCCTCACAGGTAGCTGGGACTACAGGCACGAACCACCACACCTCTCTAATTTTTTAAAAAAATTTTTGGTAGAGATGGGGTCTTGCTATGTTGCCCAGGCTGGTCTCAAACTCATGGCCTCAAGCAATCATCCCTCCTTGGCCTCCTGAAAGGCTGGAAAGCCACTGCATCTAGCCCTATTCATTTTCTTTCTTTCCGAGACAGAGTCTCTCTCTGTTGCCCAGGCTGGAGTGCAGTGGCACAATCTTGGCTCACTGCAGCCTCTGCCTCCTGGATTCAAGTGATTCTTGTGCCTCAGCCTCCTGAGTAGCTGGGATTTCAGGCAACCATCACCATGCCCAGCTAATTTTTATATTTTTTGTAGAGATGGGGTTTAGCCATGTTGGCCAGACTGGTCTTAAACTCCTGACCTCAGGTGATCCACCCAGCTCCTAAAGTGCTGGGATTACAGGTGTGAGCCACCACGCCTGGCCCCATTCTTTTAAAAATATCAGTGGCTTCCATCTATTAGAAGTAGGTTGGGCTATACATCACACTATCCCTAAATCTTACTTTCATGTGGTTTGTTTAATAATTAATTCCCAATAAGTCTCAGGGGAGAGTTCTGCAATATGTATAAAACTTTGGCAAGATGGCATATTAGGAACAGCTCTGGTCTGCAGCTCCCAGCGAGATCGACACAGAAGGCGGGTGATTTCTGCATTTCCGACTGAGGGAAATTGATATTAGGGCTAATATCAAGAATCTACAAAGAACTTAAACAAAATTACAAGAAAAAAACAAACAACTCCATCTACTGCCTTGAGTGGGCAGTAGGCAAGCTGAGGCCTGGGTTTCTAAGTGGTCGAGAGGAGGCTGGAGACCAGCAGGGGTCAGACGCTGAGACGAGACAGATTTAACCCTCATCACAATTTTGCTCAAGTCCTGGGGTTCCTGCCCCACCAGTTTCCTTTTCGGAAGCCTGAAAACATAAACCAGGTTTACCAACACCCTCAATTCGCAACCAGCCCCTTCTCTCCGGTGGATGTGTTTGGGAAGCCAGGCATAGAGAATATTGCCATTGACCTCCTCCTGCTCCTTTCCTTGTCCCGCTTTATTAGCATCACATGAATTTGATGGGTGTGTTGCCGAAGCCAGAATAAGTAGTTTAGACGGTGAGGGCAGCAGCAGCTCAGAGAAGGGAGCAGCTGAAAAACCTCAGGGCTTGTGCACCACCTCTTGAGGCCAGCCAGCCTTGCCCTGTCTCCAGGCAGCTGTGCTCCTAAACCGCGACAAATGACTAAGAAATTTCTGCTCAGGGGAGTCCTGAGGGAAGGAAGGTGCTCTTTCCCTGCAGGTGCATTTGACGTCACTCAGGCACAGGGGGCCCCTCCCAGCAGCCTCCAGAAGCAGCCTCCAGAGCCTGGGTCGGTGACAGCCCGTCTAGTATTTAAGCATGATTCAGCCACCCTCCCTACTCCCGTGTAAATCCGTGGATATGCACGGAATCCAGCTTCCTCTTTCTGCACATACACACATCCTTTTGGCTATTTCTCTGGAGGACCCTGACTAACACAGGCCACCGACCCTCCATCACTGTGGGCTTCCTGTTTCTGCAGTAAGCACTCCCTTTGGGAGAGTCCAATGAGAAAAAAGGAAAGAACCTCATTAGGTCCCTCCACGTCAACACTGACTGTGTTAACCCTAATTACTGCACCTGAATTATTCTTTTCCAGTTGCAAAGAAGGAAATCTCTAAGGTCTTTTTTAAAACCTACAAAACTTCTAAAGAATGGTAAAATGGGAAGGCTTTTTTGCATTGGCAGGAGCATAAATAATTCCTGAGGGCATCTGAACTCCAACCAGGTCAGCCCAGCCCAGCTTCCCCAACATCCCCCTTGCCAGGGAAGAGGCAGAGAATAGTAACTCAAGTTTATAGAGACTGTATTGTTGCCTTTGATCTTCAGCACCACCCCATTGAGGTAAGCATTAGCTCATACCTTTGGACAAGGGCAAGTCAGAAAGTGAGAGGGAAAGTGAGAAAGGCATTTGGAAAAAACAGGGAGGAGGACTTGGTCATTGCTTCATTCATGTATTCATTGCACAAATATTTATTGGCTACCACAATGTGTCAGCTGTGGTGCTGGAAGTGGAGAGACAATAGCAAGTGAGACAGAGAAGGTCCAAACCTTTACCCAACGGAGTGTATAGTCCAGCAAACATTTCCTGAAGGCCTGCACCTGGCAAGGCACTGCTGGCAAAGCCCAAGAGTACAGCAACCCAGCTTAAAGGAGGGTGATCCAACTTTGAAAGCTGCCCCTTCTGTGAGCGCCCTCAATCCCTCAAGCTTATTCTGCCTCACTAATGATTGCTCTCCCTTCCATGGTCTATTGTACCATCTTTCTCTCCCTATTGGCCTGAGAGCTCTTCCAGGGCAGGACCACTCTCCACTCAGCCCAACACAATGTCTGGCGCACGGTTCTTCAGGCACATTCATCCAATGATGACCTGCAATGAGCCGAGCATGGTGTCAGCAGCTGAAGCAACAGAGAGGGAAGAAACCCAGGCCCCTTCCTCCAGGGATGTGGAGTCTAGTGGGGGAGAAAGATAAAGAAAGAAGCAACTATTTTGATGTGATAAATTTCCTGGGGAATGACTAAGTGCCAAGCTGTGCAGAAGAAGAAATGCTGGCTGGGCCTGGTGGTTCACACTTGTAATCCCAGCACTTTGGGAAGCCAAGGTGGGAGGATTGATGGAGGCCAGGAGTTTGAGATCAGCCTGAGCAACAGAGCAAGACTCCATCTCTACACAAAATTTTAAAAATTAGCCAGCTGTGGTGGCACACAACTGTAGTCCCAGCAACTTGGGAGGCTGATATGGGAGGATTGCTTGAGCCCCGGAGTTCCTGGCTGCAGAATGGCCACTGCCCTCCAGCCTGGGCAACACAGTGAGACCTAGTCTCAAAAAAAAAAAAAAAAAAAAAAAAAAAAGCCAAAAAGGAGAGAGGAGGGAGGAGAGAAAAGAGGAGGGAGGAAGGGGAGGTCAAGGAAGGAGGAGGAGGAACATAGCTGTAATGGGAAGATAGGGAGGAAAAAGGAGGATGGAAGACATGCTCAGATATGTCTTCATGGCTAGATGGTAAGTTCTGACTGGGCAGAGACAATGTCTGTTTCCTTAGTACCTAGCAAAGGGTCTTGCACTGGGTAGATATTCACTGTATTTTCAGTGGGGAATGAATTCCCATAATAGGGAATCTGAAGCCCTTAAAGAAAACCAGAATAGCAAAGAATAGAATAATGTTTACTCTTTTATATTGATTAGAAATGCATACTCCACATATAGAAAGTACAAACTCAACAGAGTAAAATCTCAGAGAATGGTTTTTACACATATTTGCAGTGTGATCAGTCAATGTTCCTGAAAGCTAATAAGAATCCAGTAACCATTTAATATTAAATGTATGGAGAAGCTACCTAAATCCTAGGGTCATGTTGCTTGTCACTTGAGAGAACACCATTTTCTTGTCTAACTCTTATTTTTATTCACATTCATGATCATACATGCATGTGCAGCCACACGAACATCAACATCAATATCTGGTTTCTAGAGTAGATTCTCAAAAGGTAGGAAAACCTGCCTTGATAGCATCTTATAAAACTCAGCACATTACCACACACAGATGCATTCCAATTGTGAAATCTCTCAGGACGAAAAGTATTCTATGGGTGATGCTGTTTTTCTTTTTTTTCCCAGGTTTTGCTTATTAATGACCCAGCCAGGCTTTCTCACATTGTCTTGTGCTAGAGGCATTGACTCCTCACATCGGAAAAGTAAAATGCCTAGAAATGCCTAAAGGAGAAATAAAACAAAGTGGTTGATGCTTAGAAAGAAAAGTCATCCAATTCACTCACAGTGGGTCATGCTGCTTAACTCAGCCACAAGGAAATCCCAATTCATGCAAAAATAATTCTGTCTTCATTATTCTACAATCCAGTGGGTGTCTATGATAATTTGAGTACTCCTTTCTTGAAAAGAGAAGATCAGCACGTGTGTCTTTAACAATACATTCCTCTTGGTCTTGCTGAAATGCTGCATTAGTGACTGCATCTGATTGCACTGGAACCTGGCTCAGGCCCCCTACTGATGCTCTTACAGGCCATTATTAATGCGTACCCCTTCAGGGGCTGTAATTTGGGACTCAATTTGCCATAAAATTGTCCTAAGTGTCACCTTAGTAATCGGAGATCACATGACCCATGAAACACATTGAGATGAAAGATGGCACCTCTTGGAAATGAATGTCAAATTTTCCCCCATAGTAAAAAGGCACTAGCCATTGTATTTGCAGTGGATTTCACTGTGCCTTGAGATGGGGAGGGGTTACAATGTTCCCTGTGCACATGCCTTGAGCTGGGCCTGCTAGGCCTCAGACCAGAGCCTTCACCTACCACATACCCTGAAGACTCAACACACAGACTCTAGTAATTCAGCCATCCCTCAGGTGGATTTTGATGGTGCTTATCTTTTTAACCAAAAATCCATATGTTTTCTAACAAAGGAGTTTTATCCTAATTCCAGATACAAAAAGTAGGTTAGATGTCAAGTCTGGCAAAACAAAAGGTAGTTTGATTAATCATTAGGGAAATGCCAATCAAAACCACAATGAGACACAATTTCACACCTATCAGGATGGCTATTTCCAAAACAAACAAACAAACAAACAAACAAACACAAAACAGAAAATCACAACGGTTGACAAGGATGTGGAGAACCTGGAAGCCTTGCACGTGGCTAGTGGGAAGGTAAAATGGTGCAGCTGGCGTAGAAAAACAGTATGGCAGCTCCTCAAAAAAAGGAAACCCAGGATCACTATTAACATGTGATCCAGCAACTTCACCTCTGAGTACACAACCCAAAGAACCGAAGGCAGGGACTTGAATAGATACCTGTGTATCAGTGTTCATAGCAACACTATTCACAATAGCCAAATGACAGTAATAATGATCTACATGTCTACTGGCAGATGAATGGATAAACAAAAGCGGATACAGACATACCATAGAGTGTCATTGAGTCTTAGAAAGGAATGAAATTCTGACACATGCTGAACATTTGCCCATGGATGAACCCTGAAGACATGATGCTAAGTGAAATCAACCAGACAGAGAGAGACAAATAACGTGTGATTCCACTTATACAAGATGCGGAGAGTAGTCAAATTCACAGAGACAGAAAGTGGAGTGGTGGTTCCCACGGTGGAGCAGGGGTCATTGTTCAATAGTATATAGTTTCAGTTTGGGAAGATGAAAACATCTGAAAAATGGATGGTGGTGACGGCTGAAGAACAATGCGAATGTACTTAATGCCACTGAGCTTTCTATTTTAAAATGGTTAGAATGGTAAAGCATACATTATGTACCTTTTATAACAAAATGTTTTAAGGTAGATTGGTTGTCAAAATACTAGAATTTCACATTTCAATGGACGAAAGCCAAAACGAATGCAATGTGGGACTGCCCTGGAAAACTCCAGGCATTTGGACGGCCATCTTGAAACTGTGCTGTAGATAAGGTAGATCAAGACCAGGAAGCCCTGGGGAGAAGGTGGCAGGGATATAGAGCTGGAGAGAAGGGGAACTGTCTGCCTCTTTCCTTCAGAAAAGCCTGCGGTGACAACTTGTTCACCTCTAGCCTTACTGCTCGGGCTGCAGAGGACGCCGGCACCAGCACCTTTGTCCATCTCAAGGGCTCTGTTGGAAACTTGAGTCAAATCAACTACCTTGCAGCCTTAATCTATAGTAGTTATTTTTGTTGTTCCTTCTGTTCCTGGTGACACTTGGTTCTGAATTTAGTCTAGCAGAATGAGAGGGCCTGCACAGGGGCCCTGCTATAAGTTACCTTCACTCACAAAATGCGGGCATCCCCACCCCTAGTTACAACACACATGTAGCAACATGTCTTCGTATGTTCTAAAGCAGAGGAAAGAGCCAATGGAACTTATAAGCTGTAGCTTATAAAGCACTCTTAGATGATTCTACCATTTTTTAAAAAAAATTACCATGATTTATCTGGTCATCTAGAGGGGCCAGACACAGTATGATTATGATGCTCTTATGAACTTCAGAGCACTCCTAGAGGCCACTTTTAATGAAGTACAAGCCTCCTGACTGGAGATTAAGTCAATATCCTTTATCACACTATTGAAAGCACTGAATATTTTGGTATCGACTCTCACTACTCTATTTCAAAAGAGGCTGAAGAAGCTGAAAAGCTGAGCAGCACTTCTCAGTTTCAAGAAACTAGGAGGCAAAAACTGGAGTCTAGGACTCATCAATGAGGGCCTAATAATTCCCTCCATTTTGGGGCTGAGATCTCAAAGAACTGTACCCTAGGACTAAGGGTGATGGAAGTCGACTAAAACTCAGCAACAAATTATCTCAATTCATGAAGTGGAATTAAGGTGATCAAGACTGCTAGTCTGGGGGAGGGGTGGAGCAAAATGGCTGACTACAAGGCTCCACTGATTGTCCCCACAGCAGGAATGCCAAATTCAACAGCTATCCACATAAAGACAGCATCTTTATAAAACCAACAATCAGGTGAGCACTCACAGTCCCTGGTTTTAATTCTATCACTGAAAGAGGCACCAAGGAAGGTAGCAAGGAGAGTCCTGAATTGCCAGTGCCCCACTTCCTCCATCGCCCAACAGCGGCCATGTGGCACAGAGCAAGAACCTGTGCACTCAGGAGAGACAGCACAGTGATTATGAGACTTTACACTGAACTCAGCACTGCCCTGTCACAGTAGAAAGCAAAACCAGACTGAACTCAACTGATGAACGCCCAGGGAGGGAGCATTCAGATGGGCCCAAGCTGGAGGGGAACCGCTGTCCCCGTGGGGGGAATCTGAGTTCCAGCAAGCCTCACCACCATGGGCTAAAGTGCTCTGGGGCCATAAATAAACCTAAAAGGCAGTCTATACCACAAGGACTGTAACTCTTAGGCAAGTCCTAGTGCTGAGCTGGGCTCGAAGCCAGTGGGCTTGGGGAGCATGCGACCTACTGAGACACCACCCAACACAGCTAAAGGAGTGTTTGCACCAGTCCTTCCCCAACCCCAGGCAGCACAGCTCTTGGCTCCAAAAGAGATCCCTCCATTCTGCTTGAGGAGAGGGGAGGGAAGAGTAAAGAGTAAAGAGAACTTTGTCTTACATCTTGGGTACCAGCTCACCCAAAGTAGGATAGGGCACTAGTCAGAGTTGTGAAGTCCCCATTTCAGGTCCTTCCTCCTGGATGACATTTCCAGACACACCCAGGGCCAAAAGGGAACCCACTGCTTTGAAAGGAAGGACCCAGTGCTATCAGGATCCATCACCTGCTGGCTAAAGAGCTCCTGGGTCCTGAATAACCAGCAGCAATATCCAAGTAATATCCAGGTGGTGGTAGCCATGGGCTGCCTGTGGAAACGGGACGAAAGAGTGGGAAGAGCTGGGACTCATGGTTTGAGTGCCAGCTCAGCTGCAGTAGAATAGAACACCAGGTATATTTCTAAGGATTTTGGTTCCAGTACGTGGCTCCTGGACAGCACCTCTGGACCTGCCCAGGGCCTAAGGGAACCCAATGCCCTGAAGAGAAGGACACATGCCTGGTTGGCTTCACCACCTGCTTACTGTAAAGCCCCAGGGCCTCGAGCAAATATAGGCCATAGCCAGGTAGTGCTTCTAGCAGGCCTTGGGTGAAACTCACTACTGTGCTGGCTTCAGGTCTGACCAGTGCAGCCCCAGTGATAGTGGCCACAGGGGAGCTTGTGTCACCTCACACCCAACTCCAGGTAGCTCAGCACAGAGAGAGAGACTATGTTTGTTTGGGAGAAAGTAAGGGAAGAGAACAAGAATCTTTGCTTGGTATCCAGAGAACGCTTGCAGATCTTATCCAAGACCACAAAGGTGGTACCTCTATGAGTCTGCAAGAACCACAGTGTTACCAGGCTTGGGGTGCCTTGTAATACAAACATGACTTAGATAACACACCCAAGTCCTTTCAAATACCTCAAAAGCCTTCCCAAGAAGAACAGGCACAAACAGCCCAGATTGCAAAGACTATAAGTACCTAACTCTTCAATGCCCAGACACCAAAGAACATCCACAAGCATCAAAACCATTCAGGAAAATGTGGCCTCACCAAATGAACTAAATCAGGCATCAGGGAACAATCCCAGAGAAACAGAGATATGCAACTTTTCAGACAGAGAATTCAAAACAGCCATTTTGAGGAAACTCTGAGAAATTCAAGATAACACAGAAATGGAATTCAGAATTCTATCACATAAATTGAACAAAGAGATTAAAATAATTAAAAAGAATCAAGCAGAAATTCTGGAGCTGAAATTGCAAATGACATACTGAAGAATGCATCCGTTATTGGCCTTAAAGAGGAGGTAGAGAAGGAGATAGGGATAGAAAGTTTATTCAAAGGGTTAACAGAGAACACCTCAAACCCAGAAGATATCAATATCTAAGTAAAAGAAGGCTACAGAACACCAAGCAGATTTAACTCAAAGAAGACTACCTCGAAGCATTTAAAAATCAAACTCCCAAAGGTCAACAATAAAGAAAAGATCCTAAAAGCAGCAAAATAAAAGAAACAAATAACCCATTGGAGTTTCAATATAGCTAGCAGCCGACTTCTCAGTGGAGAACTGATAGTCGAGAAGAGCATATTTAAAGTGCTGAAGGAAAAAAACTTTTACCCTAGAATAGAATATCTATCGAAAATATCCTTCATACATGAAGGAAGAATACTTTCTCAGATAAACAAAGGCTGAGGGATTTCAACAAAGACTAGAACTGTCCTACAAGAAATGTTAAAGGAAGTATTTCAATCAGAAAGAAAAGGATGTTAATGAGCAATAAGAAATCATCTGAAAATACAAAACTTACTGGTAATAGTAAGCACACAGAAAAACACAGAATATTAAACATTGTAACTCTGGCTTGTAAACTACTCTTACCTTGAGTAGAAAAGACTAAAAGATGAACTAATAAAAAATAATAACTACAACTATTCAAGACATAGACAATACAATAATACATACATTTAAAAGTTAAAAATATATAAATTTAATATATAAATTTAAAAAGTTAAAAAACACGGGATGAAATTAAAGTGTAGTTAACCTAACCATTATTAGGATTTTTTGCTTCTTTGTTTATGCAAGCAGTCTTAAAATAATGGGTAATAGATATTATTTGTAAGCCTAATGGTAACCTCAAATCAAAAAACATACAATGGATATGCCAAAAATAAAAAGCAAGAAATTAAATCCTACCACCAGAGAAAATCACTTTCACTAAAAGAAAGACAGGAAGGAAGGAAATAAGAAGGAGAAGACCACAAAATAACCATTGCATTGGGCCTGCCTGGGTGGTCCGTGCAACCCAAGAGAGTGAGGAAAAGCAGGGTGGGGCAACAGCCCACCCTTGAGCGGGGTGGAACCAGGTGAGCCCTCACCCCAGGCAAGAAAGGTGGTGAGTGATTGTACAACGCCCCCCCAGGAAGCCATGCTTTTCCCATGGATCTTTGCAACCCGCAGATCAGGAGATCCCCTTGTGCACCCAGCAAGGCCTTGGTTCCCAAGCACAGAGCTGTGTGAACTCTCGCAGCTGCTTGGCCATGCACAAAGACCCAGGAGTTTCTTGCATACTCCACCCCGGGAATTCCAGTGAGACAGGAGATCTTCCAAGCTTTCCCCTAGGAAGGGGGCTAAAGCCAGGACACTAAGCAGCGTCATCCTGCAGGCCCCACTCCCATAGCACCTCACGAGTTAAAACCCACTGACTTGGAATTCTAGCCAGCCTGTGGGAGCAGGCTGGAGATTGCCGGAGATGACCAAGTTCCCAGGGGGAGGGGCAGCCGCCATCTACATGGCTCAAGTCAGCCATTTTGGCCTGCCAACTCCAGGAGTCTGCAAGGTCCAGACCAAAAGGAATTCAGCGCCATGCCGCGCAGCCAGCTGCTGTGGTAGATCGCGGCCAGGCTGCTTCTTTAAGTGGGACCCTGACCCATCCCTCCTCACTGGGTGGGGCCTCCCTGTGGGAATTTCATAACTCCGATCTCTCCCTGGGATGGAGCCACTGTGGGGAGGGGCGGCCACCGTATCTATGGTTCAGCCTGCTGGCTCTGGAAAGTCCAGGTGATCTGGAAAAGAGGGGCTCCTCCCACTGCAGCACACCTGCTCTGCCAAGGGGCAGCCAGACTGCTTCTTTAAATGGGTCCCATTCCTCCTGACTGGGTAAGACCTCCCAATAGGGGTCTCCAGACACCTTCTAGAGGAGCATTTGGGCCAGCATCAGGTCGGGACCCCTGGGATGGAGCTCCCAGAGGAAGGAGCAGGCTGTCATATTTGCTGTTTTGCAGCCTTCACTGGTGATACCTCTAGGTGCAGGAGGGTCCAAGGCAACTAGGGTCTGGAGTGGACCTCCAGCAAACCACAGTAGCCCTACAAAAAGGGGCCTATTAAAAGAAAAACAAACAGAAAGAAAAACAACAACAGCACAGACCCCATAAAAACCCATTAAAACGTTAGCAAACCCAAAGATCAAAAGTAGATAAGTCCACAAAGATGAGAAAGAATCAACACAAAGATGTTAAAAACTCAAAAAGCCAGAGTGTTTCTTCTCCTTCAAATGATGGCAGCATCTGTCCAGCCAGGCCACAGAACTGGGCTGAGACTGAGATGGATACATTGCCAGAAGCAGGCTTCAGAAGGTGGGTAATAGCAAACTTCACTGAGCCAAAGGACCGTGTTCTAACCCAGTGCGAAACAGAGAAGAATCATGATAAAACATTACAGGAGCTGATAACCAGAATAACCAGTTTAGGGAAGAACAGAAATGACCTGATGCAGCTGAAAACCACAACACAAGAACTTCACAATAATGCAATCACAAGTATCAACAGCCAAACAGACCAAGCGGGAGAAGAATCTCAGAGCTTGAAAACTATCTGGCTGAATTAAGATAAACAAACAAGAATAGAGGAAAAAAAAAAGGAACAAACAAAACCTCCGAGAAATGTGGGATTATGTAAAAAGACCGAACCTATGACTAATTGGGGTAGCTGAAAGAGATGGGGAAAATGAAACCAAGTTGGAAAACATACTTCAGGATATCATCCAGAACTTCCCCAACCTAGAAAGACAGGCCAACATTCAAATTCAGGAAATGCAGAGAACCCCAGTAAGACATTCCATGAGAAGATCAACCCTAAGACACATAATCATCAGATTCTCCAAGGTTGAAATGAAAGACAAAATGTTAAGGGCAGCCAGAGATAAAGACCAGGTCACTTACAAATGGAAGCCCATCAGACTCATAGCAGACCTCTTAGTGGAAACCCCACAAGCCAGAGATTTGGGGGCAATATTCAACATTCTTAAAGAATTTCCAACCCAGAATTTCATAACTGGACAAACTAAGCTTCATAACCAAAGGAGAAAGAAGATCCTTTTCAGATAAGCAAACGCTGAGAGAATTCAACACCACCAGGGTGCCTTGCAAGAGTTCCTGAAGGAAGCACTGAATATGGAAAGAAAAACCATTATCAGCCACTACAAAAATACACTAAAGTACACAGACCAGTGACACTACGAAGCAGCTATATAAACAAGTCTGCAAAAATAACCAGCTAGCATCATGATGACAGGATCAAATTCACACATAACAGTATTAACCTTAAATGTAAACAGGCTAAATGCCCCAATTAAAAGACACAGAATGGCAAGCTGGATAAAGAATCAAGCCCTATCAGTGTGCCGTATTCAAGAGATACATCTCATATGCAAAGACACACACACGCTCAAAATAAAGGGATGAAGGAAATTTTACCAAGCAAATGGAAAACAGGAAAAAGCAGGGAGAGCAAATCTGGTTCCAGCAAAACAGAGATTAAACCAACAAAAAATCAAAAAAGACAAAGAAGGCCGGGCACAGTGGCTTATGTCTGTAACCCTAGCACTTTGGGAGGCCAAGGCTGGTGGGTAACTTGAAATCAGGAGTGTGAGATCATCCTGGCCAACGTGGCAAAAGCCCGTCTGTAATAAAAATACAAAAATTAGCAGGGCGTGGCAGTGCACACCTGTAATCCCAGCTACTTGGGAGGCTGAGGCACAAGAATTGCTTGAACCCAGGAGGTAAAGACTGCAGTGAGGCAAGATCGCACCACTGAACTCCAGCCTGGGTGGCAAAGACTCTGTCTCAAAAAACAAACAAACCAACAAACAAACAAAAAACAAAGAAGGGCATTACATGATGGTAAAGGGTTCAATTCACCAAGAAGAGCTAACTATCCTAAATACATATGCACCCAATATATATATATGCATCTAATACAAGAGCACCCAAATTCATAAAGCCAGTTCTTAGAGACCTACCAAGAGACTTAGACTCCCACACAATAACAGTGGGAGACTTTAACACCCCACTGTCAATATTAGACAGATCAATGAGACAGAAAATTAACAAAGCTATTCAGGACCTGCACTCAGCTCTGGGTCAAGTGTACCTGATAGATATCTACAGAACTCTCCACCCAAAAACAGCAGCATATACATTCTTCTCATTGCCACGTGGCTCTTGCTCCAAAATCATCACATAATTGGAAGTAAAACACTCCTCGGCAAACACAAAATAACTGAAATCTTAACAAACAATCTCTCAGACCACAGCACAATCAAATTAGAACTCAAGATTAAGAAACTCACCCACAACCACACAAATACATGGAAATTGAACAACCTGCTCTTGAATGGCCCCTGGGTAAACAATGAAATTAAGGCAGAAATCAAGAAGTTCTTTGAAGCTAATGAGAACAAAGAGACAACATACCAGAATCTCTGAGATGCAGCTAAAGCAGTGCTAAGAGGGAAATTTATGGCACTAAATGCCCTCAAAAAGCTAGAAAGATTTCAAATACACAACCTAACATCACAACGAAAAGAACTAGAGAACCAAGAGCAAACAAACCCCAAAGCAGGCAGAAGACAAGAAATAACCAAGATCAGAAGGGAACTGAAGGAGATAGAGACACACACACAAAAAAAACTTCAAAAAAAATCAATGAATCTGAGTTGGTTTTTTGAAAAAAATAAAATAGACCACTAGCTAGACTAATAAAGAAGAAAAGAGAGACGAACCAAATAGATACAGTCAGAAAGGATAAGGGGGATATCACCACTGATCCCACAGAAATACAAACAACCATCAGAGAATACTATAAATACCTATATATACATAAACTAGAAAATCTAGGAGAAATGGATAAATTCCTGGACACATATACCCTCCCAAGACTGAACCAGAAAGAAATTGAATCCCTGAATAGACCAACAGTGAGTTCTAAAATTGAGGCAGTAATAAATAGCCTACCAACCAAAACTAGCCCAGGACCATACAGATTTATAGCTGAATTCTACGAGAGGTACAAAGAGGAGCTGGTACCATTTCTACTGAAACTATTCCAAACAATTGAAAAGGAGGGACTCCTCCCTAACTCATTTTATGAGGCCAGCATCATTCTAATACCAAAACCTGGCAGAGGTCCAAAAAAAAAAAAAAAAAAAAAAAAGAAAACTTCAGGCTGGGTGTAGTGGCTCACACCTGTAATCCCAGCACTTTGGGAGGCTGAGGCGGGTGGATCACCTGAGGTCAGGAGTTCGAGATCACTCTGGCCAACAAGTGAAACCCCATCTCTACTAAAACTACAAAAAATTAGCTGGGCATGGAGGTAGGCACCTGTAATCCCAGCTACTGGGAAGGCTGAGGCAGGAGAATCGCTTGAACCCAGGAGGCAGAGGTTGCAGTGAGCTGAGATTGTGCCATTGCACTCCAGCCTGGGCAACGAGAGCAAAACTCTGTCACAAAAAAAAAAAAAAAAAAAAGAAAAAGAAAGAAAGAAAGAAGAAAGAAAAGAAAAAAGAAAACGTCAGGTCGCTATCCCTGATGAACATCAATGCAAAAATCCTCAATAAAATACTGGCAAACCAAATCCAGCAGCACATCAAAAAGTTTATCCACCACAGTCAAGTAGGCTTCATCTCTGTGATGCAAGGTTGGTTCAACACACACAAATCAGTAAATGTAATTCATCACACAAACAGAACTAAAAACAAAAACCACATGGTTATCTCAATAGATGCAGACAAGGCCTTTGACAAAAGTAAACATCGCTTCATGTTAAAAACTCTCAATAACTAAGTATTGAAGGAACATACTTCAAAATAATAAGAGCCATATATGACAAACCCACAGCCAATGTCATACTAAATGGGCAAAAGCTGGAAGCATTCTCCTTGAAAATCAGCACAAGACAGGATGCCCTCTCTCAACTACTCCTATTCAACATAGTATTGGAAGTTCTGGCCAGAGCAATCAGACAAGAGAAAAAAATAAAAGGTATTCAAGAAGGAAGAGAGGAAGTCAGATAGTCTTTGTTTGCAGATGGCATGATCCTATATCTAGAAAACCCCACTGTCTCAGCCTAAAAGTTTCTTAAGCTGATAAGCAACTTCAGCAAATTCTCAGGATACAAAATCAATGTGCAAAAATCACACGCACTCCTATACACCAACAACAGGCATGCAGAGAACCAACTCATGAATGAACTCCCATTCACAATTGCTACAAACAGAATAAAATGCCTGGCAATACAGTTAACAAGGGAAGTGAAGGAACTCTTCAAGGAGAACTACAAACCACTGCTCAGGGAAATCAGAAACTACATAAACAAATGGAAAAACATTCCATGCTCATGGATAGGAAGAATCAGTATCATGAAAATGACCATACTGCCCAAAGTAATTTACAGATTCAGTGCTATTCCCATTAAACTACCACTGATATTCTTCACAGAATTAGAAAACTATGTTAACATTCATATGGAACTAAAAAAGAGCCTGTATAGCCAAGACAATCCTAAGCGAAAAGAACAAAGCTGGAGGCATCACACTACCCAACTTCAAACTATACTACAAGGCTACAGTAATCAAAACAGCATGGTACTAGTAAAAAACAGACACATAGACCAATGAAACAGAATAGAGAATTCAGAAATAAGACCGTTCACCTACAACCATCTGATCTTTGATAAACCTGACAAAAATTAACTCAAGATGTATTAAAGACTTAAATGTAAAACCTCAAACAATAAAAACCCTAGAAGAGTATCTAGGCAATACCATTCAGGACATAGGCACAGGCAAAGATTTCATGACAAAAACACCAAAAGCAATTGCAACAGAAGCAAAAATTGACAAATAGGACCTAATTAAACTAAAGAGCTTCTGCACAGCAAAAGAAACTATCATCAGAGTGAACAGACAACTTACAGAAAGGGAGAAAATTTTTGCAATCTAGCCATCTGACAAAGGTCTACAAGGAATTTAAGAGTCTAAAAGGTCTTAAACAAGTCTTA